>NC_000005.10:87079503-87382534 GCF_000001405.40 Homo sapiens | reverse complement strand
CTTGCCCCATGTAAAGACAAGCATTATTCCTAAAATAATGAATTATGCAATTCCTTCTACAGATTGATAGACATAATCCATGTAAAGACAAGCATTATTCCCAAAATAATGAGTTACGCAATTCCTTCTATAGATTAATAGATACAATCTCTGTTCTCTGTTAGAGTGGATTACCCAATTTCTTAGCATTTACCTTTGAACATGTACCTGTTTGCTAATTTTTGGACTCTTAGAAAGTAAAGATGTTACTTCTCAAACAGCATTTATAGAAATTCTAATATATTGGCTGGGCATGGTGGCTCATGCCTGTAATCCAACACTTTGGGAGGCCGAGGTGGGTGTACCACCTGAGGCCAGGAGTTCAAGACCAGCCTGGCCAACATGGTCTAACCCCATCTCTACTAAAAATACAAAAATAGCCAGGTATGGTGGTGCATGCCTGTAATCCAGCTACTTGGGTGGATGAAGCACAAGAATCTCACTTGAACCTGGGAGGCGGGGGTTGCAGTAAGCCGAAATCACACCACTGCACTCCAGCATGGGCAACAGAGCAAGACCCTGTCTCAAAAAAATAACAATTAAGTCTTTAATTTTGGACTTCCCAAATTTAAAGAATCTTGTAAACTTTACTTGAAAATATTGTGATAATTATACATAGTAGGTCTATGAGCCTGAAACCTAACCTTGGCAAAAATGCCCTAAAACACCCTCTTGCACGAAACAGTTTACAATTTCCTGCTGTGTTTGCTTAACAGTTATACTTGTTTGAAACTTACAAATTTATAGAACAGTTTTAATTTACATCTCACACGTAACTGTGCTGGAATATTATGCTTGTAATTCTTTTCTATTCCTCCCAATCACCACTAATGCCAAGAAAAACAGAATCTGTAGTTCTTAAATATTATGTCATATCATAACCAAGAGAAATATTACCTGCCCCCCAAAAAAAGAAATAGAAGCCCCTTGACAAAATTTAGGTTGGAGGCAGGATTAACACATTTTCAAAACAAACTGTGTAATAATGGTGTTAATGGTTGCCTAATTATTTTACATATAGCATGACATGACAGTGTATATTCTAAATAACAAATTATATTATTAGAAAACTGCTGTATTCCATGACGCTTTCGCATTAAACTTCCATTTGCCTGGAATTAGTTGGGGTATTAGTTGGAGTATGCTTAACAAAAGCAAAAGCCTACAATAAGACTCAAGGATATCAGATTGGGTCTTAGAAAGTTACCTTTAGTTCTGCCTTAGCCACCAGCTTTCTATAAAACCTTAGTTCAACTTAACCTCTCCAGACAGATCTGCTTCTTCATTGGAAAAATAAGTTAGAATAATGATAATGAAGTAACCTTACGTAAGCTCCCAAATTCCATGATTTGCCAAAGCAGTTCTTCCTATAGAATAATGATAATGAAGTCCCTTTATATAAGCTCCCAAATTCCATGATTTGCCAAAGCAGTTCTTCCTAATTATGGTACAATGAGCAGACTGAAACACAGCTTCAGAACTACATGTTCTGGTTCTGATTAGCTCAGAGTCACAGATTGTAACAAACCAATTAATATCTAAATCGGTCAATTACTGCCCTTCTCTCTCACTGCCAATCAATGTGTGTGTATGTATGAAGAATACTATATGAAGTTAGCTACAGATTTTGTTATATAACTTTTAGCCTCATCTTGTAAGGGTTTAAAAATCCCCAATACTTGACTATAAATGAATGTTCATGTTTTTAGAAAATGCAAACGGCAGCTAAATCTCACAGTAACTTTCAGTTTAGGAGCCATCTGGACTTAGAAAATATGCAACAGGGCTTTGACATAAAAGCCAAAGAAAAAAGCATTGAATTGTATATTGTTATTCCTCAATTTTTCACAATTATCCACCTATTAGTATGTGATTTAACAAATCAATTGATGAGCCTTACCTAACAACTCTTGTTCTCATGGTGGTATTTGTAGGCCACTTATGCTGAACAGATTTCTGTAAACACCCATAAATATATCTCAATGTCCTGCCAAAATAACACAATCATCTCAACACAGAAAGCAAGTGAAAACACTGATCTCCTAGCAGCCAAAAGCTTAATTTACCCAAATATACCACAGTTCAATAAAACTGGCCTTTTACCCAAAAAAGTATTTTGCCACAGGTAATGAGGCATTTAGCAAGGGGTAAGGAAAACTTTATCCACTAAGTTTATCATCAATTTATTCAGTCAACTTCCTGACATTTACTTTCAGATATAGAGAACCAACCAGCTGCAAATTCTGGGGAGCAAGATTTAGACTTAAGTTAACTTCTACCTGAACAAGTGAGTTCACTAATACTGGAGGCCGACAAGCATATTAACAGAGTGATTAGTCTATCAAGTATAGACTAAATGGATAGACAAGATATCTTTTACAATCTCAAATCTGAAACTATAAACCTCTATTCACTCCCCAAGCTACTACAGTACAAACCAGACATATTGGCTTGTACGAAAATAATGGGTGGTTTTATTAAGACAGCTATTTTCTTTAAATACAATTCATCTCATAAAGATTAACCATGACTTTTTCAGAGTATAATAATATTAGGACAACAGAAAAGCTTTCACGTTTTAGAAATAGAAATTTCTGAAGACATAGATACACAATTTCTTGTCAAATGAAAATTTCACCACTTACGGTGGAAGTATTTCTGAAGCCATGAATATTTTCTCCACAAGCTCTGAAAGTATGTTCAATAGGTGTGTTAAATTAGTGTTCACATCTTCATTTTTTTCTAACTTTGATGGACTTAACTAAAAGAAGGAATAAATCAATATAAATGCATGTTGGCAATGACAAATGCAAATGAATAGAGGAAAACAAGTAGTTATAGTTTTCGAGGTTGTCTATTTTTCGGTATCTCTGTGTGTATTGATCTTTTTTCTTTGTATAATGGGAGTTTTTAAGTAGTTTTCTCTATGGAACTCCTCCTGGTAGGTCTGTTACCATTTATTCCCAATTAGCCAACTGAAAAGCAAACAGTGCTTAGTCAATTCTATTTATTTGAGGGGAAAAAAAGCTGATTAAAAGCTTTTCTGAATGAGGCTTATTTAATGGCTAATAAAAATATCAAATGCCTTAGGCAGAATCACAAACCTTTCTCAGAACTTTTCCTGTAACCCTTCTGATCTAGTGTCAGCAGAGTACATTTATCTATGGAAGTCGGAATTCCGTAGCCTATCTCTAAAGTCCAGAGACTCCCTACCTACCTGCTGCACTTCTGTGTCATCCTTATGTTAGGCCAACTATGGCATTACCCCACATTTCCAACATTAAATCACTAATTTCTTCCCTTCAAGTTATTAGTATGAATCGACACCTTCGTGCAGGATTAACATTTGCTAGGTCCCAGTGTCCATTGTCAAAAACAATTCCTTAAACTGATTTTTATATCAGATCTAATATATATTATTTCTTTGTAGTTGCTTTACCATTAAAATGAGAGAATATGTGTGTGAGATTCCACTTACTGTCTTAATAGTGTATTATGAATTTATACTGAAACTTTAATAATCCTAAAAAGATTTTTTTGTTTTAGTTGAGGTTATCTCATAATTCTCCCCTCGCAAAAAAACCTTCAAGAACAAACCAAGATGTAATGAAGTGCTACATAGGTTATATAATGAGTCACTAACAAAACCTTCAATTTATCTTATGCACGCTTTCTGTAAGTAGTATATAGATTATTAGTACAGTAGAGGAAATGACAAAGTATTTTCATGAATTTCTGGTGCAACTTGATGGTTTTTAATCCCAAAATAAAGTACATCTTTTTTAAGAAGTCCATTTTGCAGAACATTTTTATAAATGTATTACAGACAGGTGTAACTGCTATGAGGAATAATTTTAGAAATTTAATATATTTTCCTTAAAATGTAATTGGCTACAAATTATTACCTATTAAAATATGTTCTTTGCAAAAATACTTATTAAAACATTAAATTCTTACCTCACAAGACTGCTTGCTTTCCATTATCTTTAAAATAGAGTCTTTCAAAGCATGATGAACAAACTGTGTAGCAGTGGCTTTCATATACTGCTCCATCAAGGTGCTTGCAAGTGTTGTGGCTCGAAATAGGGTAGTGGCTTCATCTACACAAATATTTACATTAGAAGATTATTTGTAAAGGACTGACCTAATGTGACCAAATTGGAAATTAAGTGAATTCATTTTACCTCAACAGGAATAGCCACTTAAATGTGCTTTTTGCGTGCAGCGTTGAAAGTACTAATTACAATGACATCCTATACTTCTACAGACTTAACTCTGTAAGACTTTCATATGTATTACCTCATTAGATCATGAACAGAAGGGATTAACACTGCCATGTTCATATGGAAAAATGAAGACTCAGAATTGTTATATGACTTAAGATCAATTAGACAGCTAATGATAAAATTAGGACCATAAATCAGCTTTGCTGCCCATTGACCCCATGCTTTGAAATTTTAGGGTTTATTTACAATTAAGGATATAACACAAAATCCCAGTATAGATTAATTTATTAGCTTAAAATATGTCTACTGAGTTTCAGTAAAATTTTAATGAAATACAAATGCTGTCAGAAAAGATAAACTCAAGTGTAAAATAAGGACCACCATTTTATCTATTCCTTGACAAATCTATATTTTGTGATGAGGAGGAAAATAGTTCTAAACTTTACTATTTATTTGGGGAACCTAGAAGCAAGAACTGTTAATGAATCAAAGTGCTTGGTGGTGTGTGTGGGCCAGGGGGAGGGTGGATTATTTTGTAAGCCATTAAAAGCACTGTGTCCAGCAGCTTGGGAACTACCTATCTATAAAAGTTAGAAATAAAATGCAGCTGACACCCAGCTTCTGTGTAATGAAGAAGTAAAAATTAAACAAGACCTGTAACCCCGGCACTTTGGGAGGCTTGAGGCAGGCGGATCACCTGAAGTCAGGAGTTCAAGACCAGCCTGGCCAACATGGTGAAAACCCGTCTCTACTAAAAAAATAAAATAAAAAATTAGCTGGGTGTGGTGGCATATGCCTGTAGTCCCAGCTACTTAGGAGGCTGAGGCAGGAGAATCGCTTGAACCTGAGAGGTAGAGGTTGCAGTGAGCCGAGACTGCGCCACTGCACTGCAGCCTGGGCGACTGAGATGCCATCTCAAAAGAAAATAAAAAACAAGAGAATACAGATAAATATGCCAAACAGTCAAGCCATTGATGTAGACACAGATACCACCTTCTTGTGGCTTCTAGTACTTATCTGCCAAAACCTACATTAGAAATATCAGCTTCCCATAGTAACCAACATAATCAGAACTGACATCCAACTGCAATTTTTAAGGAGGGAAAACAGAATAACTTATTTTGCAATATAATTTAACAATTTAGTATATTCAGAGATAGAGTCCATATATCCTTGATATAAAATCTAAACCCAGTTTCTTGTATCACACTAACATGGCCATACCATACCTTCCATGCTTATTTCTCTGTCATTTAGTGTGCATAACAACAACGATTCAAGCTTTTCGTGAAGAAAAATCCTCAGTAGGATGCTGGCCAGTAGTGTTCGGTCTTGTCCACATACATGTGATAAAGCATAGACTACATGAAGTTCCTTTTGCAGTATAAGCTAAAATGACATTTTAAAAGATTGTTTAAAGTACGTAGCATTATAAGCATGCTCCATGAGACTAACAAGAAATATGTTCTTTCACAAGTTCTTATATTTAAAATGATGTCCCATTGAATAAATTTATTTAAAATAGAATGAATTCGTAGTCTACTTATTTCTACCAAAATTACAGTATAAAACAAGGTTTAAAATCTCTGGCATCATTGTGCTACTAAGCTATGAATTACTATGTTTACCTTAATGGATCTTTTATTAAATGTTAAATGTTTCTGTTAATTCCAACAAAAACAAGACTGATAAATAATTTAATACCTCTTTAAATTCACTGTACTCTTCTTCTGGCATGATTTTTTCCATAGAGTATCGTGCTCGAACACGCAGGGACCCTGGTTCAATACCTTTTAATGGTATATGGGAGCTGAGCAGAAACCATTCATCTGTGGCATGCCCTTTCTGTAATCGGCTCAACTGGCAGCGCATAAATACTTGGGAAGAAAAACAAGCAATTATTGTTTAAAAAGAGAACACGATAATTAGTCATGCAAGTAAATTTTCCTGGTGTTCAGTCTTCCCTATGGTGTTAAATGCTTTTCATTAAAGGAGTTTTCAGTAACATCACAAATTCAATATTTAGTTGTTTATTTACTGAGTGTCTACGGTGCACTAAACTCTGATAGGTAGAGAGTACAGAGATGATTGAGATGTGTTCTTTGAGTTGCATAGAGGTCAGTTTAGTCAAGAAGGCAAGAAATCAATTATGTTTCAGCACTGGTAAGTGCTGTTAACAGTGGTGAATGCTATTCGAGTACAGAGAAATAATATCTAATTCAGCCTGTGGAGGTGAAAACTCCACTTTAAACAGGTAACCCTTGAGCGGACGAGATCTAGAGGTGTAGCTAAGAAGAAAAGTAGTGAAAAAAGAAAAAAGAGCACTTCAAATATAAGGTATGGCCTTCGTTCTGTGTCATTACTATGGGGTTTGGATTTTATCGTAAAAGTAATGGAAAACTAAAATTACTACAAAAAACTACAGAATAAACATTTTATAGAGAAATATTCAGGCTTTGATCTGTTAATACATATCACTTCCTTCCCTAAGCCTGAGTTTTAAGAAGGTATTAACCTAATTCACCCTGATGTGAACTGGTAAATCTCACTGTCAACTGTTTTAGCAGCAGGATGGAAGGAGCTGTGCTGCTGAGGACAGGAACTGGGAGCCTTTGACTACCAGAAGTGAATAAGTGACATATTCAAGTTTAAGGGAAATTTTTAAATAGAATAAATGACATTCAAGTTTAAGGGAAATTTTTAAATAGAATACTTTTTTACTTATATGGTAATGTAATCCCAGCATTTTGGGAGGCCGAGGCCGGCAGATCACCTGAGGTCAGGAGTTTGAAACCAGCCTGGCCAACATGCTGAAACCCCGTCTCTACTAAAAATACAAAACTTAGCCAGGTATGGTGGCGGGCGCCTGTAGTCCCAGATACTCAGGAGGCTGAGGCAGGAGAATTGCTTGAACCTGGGAGGCGGAGGTTGCAGTGAGCCGAGATCACACCACTGCACTGCAGCCTGAGCAACAAGAGCAAGACTCCATCTCAAAAGAAAAAAAAAAGCAGGAAAAACCTAAAAAGTAGAAAGAAGGGATGAGGGCAAGCCCTACAAAAAGACCACTGTAATCATTTCCTTATTCTTCCTATTCATTGGAGAAAGGAGGGTGGCTAAATATTTTAATCTTAATTGCTTAACAGTGTGTACAGTTGAACCATATTGGTCTTTTTCTATCTTAGGTATATTCTTTCTTGATAATCAATACTTTAAGAAGTACAGAAAGAAACTATCTCAAATTATACTACTTGCATTTCTGTTTTTTTAATTTCTATTTTAAGACTTTCATTGTGAATTTTGAAAGTATATAAAACATGCTTTTTCTATTTTAGAAAGTTTCTGTATCAACTTACAGATATCAGGATCTTTGCTTTTCTTTGTTTTATTACTAAGAGTTATTTCAAATCTATTGATGTCAGGAGGAAGATCACTAAAGGAGCAAGGAGAAAAAGAATTAACAAAATGTTTTGGCATCAAACTACCTTATTTCTTTAGTTCTAGTATCAAATAAACCCCCTATTTCTGCTTTAAAAAAAAAAACAGTGTGCTAGACCTAAAACCAGATTCACAACATATTTTATTATTTGGTATACAGAAGACACGCAGATTACACACTTTTCCTACCATCTTTAACCTCCTAAACTAATAATTCATTCAAATAAGTACTGGAAACCCTAGTAAATGTTTTGTATTTGTGGGTTAGTAAATGTTTTTTGACTTGCTAATTCATGTTAATAACTAAGTGGAAAAACCAAGGGCATAGCACTTCACAAATAAAGGTGAACAAACAACAGAAAAAAAAAAAAAAAATATATATATATATATATGCTATTAGAACACCTGGATATGGTACCTTGTTCTGATGGTTTAGATACAGAGACCAAAAAAACAGAAAGAAATGCAATATGGTAAAAGAAAATGATTAATGTAATGATAAAATAAGACTTACTCAAAGACAAACTCTTCTGACCATACTGGGTTTTGCCCTTCCCTTGCATGAGTTTTTGCTACTTGGACACTATTCAGGTAGATGTTACAATATGGATTAGTAAAATGTTTTACTGGGAGTTTATGGGCTTCTTCAATATGTAAAACAAGGCTGCTGACCTAAAAAAAAAAAAATATATATATATATATTACCCCAGATTTCTAGAATTGCACTACATTTCAAAAGCAATTACTCTAAGATACAAAGCCAAAAATAATGACTTATTTTCCCCTTTTTTTTCAGAAAATGTGAGCTTTGGTTATATATTTGTATATGACATACTTAAAACATTCAGACATTTAAAATAATTCTTCCCACCTAAAAGATAAAAACAATGCAATTTTATTTTACAAGTTATTTCTCCCAGTATATTCCTGGAGAAATAATGAAATACACCTTTTCTACCATAAAACAATGATAAAGAGAAAATGAAGTTAAGAAGAAAATTCTTTATTAATATAAGTAAACAACTGTCACTACTCAAATTAAAATCCCGTATGTTATATAATACTTATCTGGAAGATTCTATTTCTATAAAAGAGTTCCACAGCTAAAAATTTTTAAAACACTGACTTTACCTTCTTATTTTACAGGAAAGGATACAAACCTAAAGAAACTAAGTTATTTGTTAGTTTGGATGCCAAAACTTAGACCATCCACCTTCTAGTATCAGGTTCTCTTTCTCTCTTGCCATATACTACTTGTGTGGCCTTGCACAAATCCGTCCCTCTAAGCCTCATCTTTCTAATATGTAAGTATAAAGTCTACACTACAGGTTGTAATAAGTATTACAAACTAGTTATCCCTCAGTATCTGTGGGGGACTGATTCCAAGACCCTCCACCTCTCTGTCCTGGCAGCTAACGAAGCCCAAGATGCTCAAGTCCCGTATAGAAAATGACATAGTATCTGCATAAAATCTATGCATGCCCCCCTGTATGCCGTAAATCATCTCTAGATTACTTGTAATACCTAATACAATGTGAATGCTATGTACATAGTTGTTATACTGTATCTTTTTATTGTATTTTTTCGACCCATGGTTGGTAGAGTCCACTGATGCAGAACCCATGAATAGAAAGGGCTGACAGTATATGTAAATCACTAAATCACACTGCCCACTGATACATAAAAAGTGCTTGAGAGATGTTAGCTATGATTATATTAAACCTGCAAATGTCATTTTAATGGCTCAAGTTTCACACAAAATACAACTTGCTCTTATTAGCAAAAATCCAATCTGATTTTTGATAGCTTACAAAATGTTACAATGTTATGAAGACATGGCGATTGTGTGTATACTTAAATTTCCCTGGGGAAGAGCCAGACTTTGGGTTACAGGGACTATTTAGTCACCTAAATATCAACCATTATCCACTCCCAGTAGAACAGTATGTTAATCACTCAGCTTATCAGATATTCGCACAAAGAGAACAGGAGACACTTTGGTTAGTAAATAAATATTGTACTAAACTTTCTTTAAACCTTGAGAATGTCAAAATTTGCCTAACTTCTTCCAATTATACAGGGATTACTAAAAAGAAAAAAGCCAAGAAATGGAGGTTATAAAGTTACCCTTGTAAAGGCAAAAAAAAGAGAAAGCCTAGCTTAACTCTCCACAAATCTCAAAGTATAGGGCATGTTACAGTTTCAAATAAGATTAAATATTTCCTAAGAGTTAAGCAGTAGGTTTTAAAAGCTGTTCTTCAAAATGAAAATCCCAAAAAAGTTTATTGGGATTAGTGCTATAAATCTGATGATCTTTTCAATGTTCTACTTTTTTGAAAGAGGCCAAAATAAGTTTTTGAAGGAAAATTAAGTGCCCAACAGAACCGTTTCTGCTGTGTTGGTTTAGTGTTGTTATTTAAAGTGGAAGAATAATCTTTCTTATGTTTTTAACAGTTGGCATGGACTAAGAAAGAACATTCTCTTTCATAAAGAAGTAACGTTTTCCTGCTACTGAAGCAAGTGGCAGCATGGCTTAACCCCATATGATGTCCAAAACAGTTCAGATAAAAATAAAATAAAAAGAGCAAAGTGTTAGAGCAAAATGTGACAATTAAAAATCCAAGAAAATTAAGCTTCACCTGACGAAGGCGTTTATTGGATGTCCCTGGACTACTTTTCCGTAAATTGCAAAATGCCTGCAGACCTTTCATCCAATCCTGCAAAGAAAAACAGCACTTCAAAGAAATATACACTAGTTTATTTGGCTTCCAAATCATCAGTTAGGTTTTTTTTTTCAAATTCAACAATTTTTTCCTTCTCTAGACTGCCATTTCTATTCTCAGACTATACTGTACTTCATAACAATAACCAATAATAAAATAACAATAACATAACAATAACAATAATAAAACAACCAAAACAATTGTAATTCTGTATAAATCTTTGTTTGAATTTATGTATGAAACACATCGAGTGGCCATTAATTAGCCAAAAAATCAAATTTACATTAAAGAAACTATTTCTCCCAAACAGATACTACCTTGGGGAAATTAACTGTATAATTAAGCTGTTATACTTGAGGCAAGCTTAGGTGGAATTTAACTTGATACACTTTGTGAGAGGGGGAGAGTGCTGATTGTAAAACCAACTGATAATGTGATGACCGATCCCATGACAAGCATATTAATCTATACTTTAGACCATGATACAGGTAGAAATGTATAAGGGGATTTGGGTTATTTTTAAGCTTCTCAAATATAACATTAGATTTTAAAAATCATTTTAGCCTAATATTCAAATCAAATTGCAGCCATATTTTTAAAATGTTTATCTAGTGCTTTGGGGAAAAGGAGAGAACTAAGGTTTATTAAAAACAAATCTAAATATTCACTTTGGTTTTTACATATTTCTGGAAAGCTGTGTACTATTGCTTTATTCAATTATGTCTTTAGTTTGTTGGCTATTTCAATGAAGCTGAACTTTATTAATATCTAGAGACTGTCTTTATATTACAGCAAATTAAAACCAAATCAGTTACCATAGCTTTTTGAAATAGAAGAGAATAACCAGAGACCCCCACAGCCCAATAAATCAACAAAAACTGGAAATACCATTTATGGAAATACAGAAATATTATGTATAAATACATTAAAAAATGTTCTATGTTAGGCTTGCAAAACATGCTGAAATGTCATTATGGTATGTGACATTTTATTCAGAAAGAGGGACCATGGTAAAATACTTAGAAAATAGGATACTGAAGTTTAAATTTCTAACTCAATTTCTAACATTTAAAAAAATCATGTAAGTTACCAAAATGTTTTGAGCACTACCTTTCTCATCTAAAAATTAGGGATACATAGCCGTAAAATTTTATGTGCATTACATGTGAAATGAGCATTAAATGAGATATTTGATAAAGATGTGAAATATGACGTTCAGTTGTAAGCTCATTCAGGTTTATTCTGTGAGTCTCACGCTAGGATCTAGTTTTAAGAGCATCTTCCTCATATCTAGGGTTGGCAAATTATATTTCCAACAAAGCCACTTTCACTTCTTAACCACCTTTAAGTTCCTTCGTTAGAATATAAGCAGAAATTTAGCTGTATTTGTATAAAATACAACCATATACTCCAGAAATATTAGGGTTCAAAGAAAGCAAAAAAATTTTTTAAGAGACAGTGTCTCAGTTTGTTGCCTAGGCTGGCTTACAGTGTCTCGATCTTACTCACTGTAACTCAAACTCCTGTGCTAATGCAATCTTCCTGCCTCATTCTACCCAGTGGCTGGGACTACAGGCATAAGCCAGAACACCTAGCTAATTTTTTACTTTTGTTATAGAGGTGGGTTCTCCCTTTGTTGCAAAATATTTTTTAAAGAGTGTTTTTTAAAAAATATTATTTCTTCACACAATTACTTAATAGACGCTATAAGAAGGACACTGCACATGGATTAATAGCTAATCTAAAGTAGACATTATATCTCGACTTGGCTTAGAGAATAGATTCCTAAAATATCTTTCCTTGTGTTGACTGACTTTTATTTTCAGACATGGAGTTCAACCAGTGAAGAATAATGCTTGTTAGCAAAACTAACTGGTTAACTGGCTTACCTTTGGATTATACTGAGATGACCTATAACCTTTATGCAGAGAGGATTTTAAATGAGCATTCTCAGTTGGCCTCAACATCATAGAGTATTTAAAGGTCAATTTAAAATGGAGTTTTCATTCCTAATAACCCTTCACTGTGTTTGTTTTTGCATTTCTTTCAGAAAACTTTTTACATATGAAATCTCATTCCTTAAAATAAGAGATGATTAGATTTCAGGCGTTCTGTCACTTTATCTTGAATGCGATCATTTTCTATTCCAGTTAATAAGAAAACATGGGCTAACATAAAAGTATACTGTAGTTTGAGAAACAGTAATCTTACCTCTGCTTGTTCTGGAGTTTCTCCTGCAAAGTAAAAGATGTAATGTTCTTCACTAAAGTGCTGAACTACTATCTGAAAACAGTTTGGCCTTTAAAATAAAAACAAAAATTATTAGGAAGCTTAATAAAAAGTAGCAAAATATTTATACCAGCTTCCAAAACACTCACAATAAATAATTAACATAAAATTATAATTCTTAAAGAAATAATACTCCATTGTACCAGATCATTACTAAAAAAAAGTCAGCTATATATATTTTAGAAAACTTTATGTCAGCACTATTAAAATGTTATCAGTATTTCAAAGTGTAAACTAAAGAAATTTCAATTAATTGTAAAATACATTAGAAATAAAGTTACAAACAGATTGAAGCTGAACTGCTAGAACTGCACACAGCTAATTTGAAAAGCTTTATATGCACTGGAAAAAGACTAGAAATGTTCTTAGACCAAAAATGTTCTAAGTAATTATCTCTAAGGAGATTGTAGGTGATTCTGTATTTTCAAATTTTTCTAAACTGATCATTTTTCTTCACCTGTTAAAATGGAAACATCATCTCTTCATACATATGCTTGTTCTAGAGTTTAAGTGAACAGTTGTGTACAACAAATGTTCTTGTCTTCCTTTAGTATTATTTCAAATCATTTGATATGTAAGTACAATATTAGGTAATAATTTATATCATTTTGGAAATGTGCTATCTTTCCAACTAGACTTGAAAATATTGGTAAAATCTTTATTAAGGGCCTGCATGTTTTTGGAACTCAATAAATGTTACTTCTGTTTCCTGCTTTAAAGATTTTATATCATGCTAATGTTAGGAGGCCATAGCAAAAATACACAGAGGACAAGCTTAACACTTATTAAAGATAAAGACTATATTTTCATGCTTTGAGAATGTCTTAAAAGTAATCATGGAAAATAGGAATTGGAAACTTCTAATCCTAAATGTTGCCTGTATCAGACTAACCACCCTAGTTGGATAAAACTTAAAATAGTAATACAAAACAGAAAAACAACTGTTTGAAAGCACTGGAGAACAACCAAAGCAGCTAAGATTTGAGGAGCCAAGATCATACTATAATTAACCCGACATTCTCCACATCTTTTCCGTTCAAGGCAGTTGCCAGTTCCTAAGCTGGCTGTGTAGCTGAGACGCTAAGCAGAAAATAGTTCCTAAAAGGCTAAAAAATTAACTACAAATCCAGTAGTTTGATAGTGCTAGGAGAAAAAAGAATGAATTTCAGGCTTTCCATTGAGACCCCTGAAGGGCTGTGCCTTCATGATAAGGGCAAACCAGAAATAGAACAGCCTTTACAAGATGTACTAACCCTATACCATCCGTAAGAACAATTCTTTCTGGACGCAATAACATTAGTTTCCATAGTTTTTCATGTACAATGTCTACCACTTAGTCAAACTAAGTAGACACTACAGGCATCAGGATTAAATGGCTAAAAGTTAAGATGAAAAACCAGAAAGACATACATATAATGCAGATACTGAAGACAGACAAGACTTTCAAGTAATTATAATTAAAATGTTTAAGAAAATAGGTAACAAGAATTTTGCCAGAAACTGTATCTTTAAAAAAATGGAAATTCTAAATTGAAAAAAATGTAATAAAATGAAGTCCTGAAAAAGTGGATTTAACTGCAGAATGGAAGATTAGTGAACTGAAAGATCAGAAGAAAATATATAGGTTGGTACAGAGGAAAAAGGATGAAAAACAGAAAACAGCATGGGAAATAGTGCAACTTTTTTTTTAACCAGACTCCAAGAAGAAAAAGGAATGTGGCAGAACAACTGTTTAAATTAGATACTAAACATTTAAACAGATACTAACCAAGAGTTTTCTAAAACTGACAAAGAACATCAGGTCTCAGATTGATGAAGCACTACAAACCTAAGGATAATTTTTTTTTTAATTTATAGTTGGTACATTTTAGTTTTCCCACTAAAAATATAAGGAAAAATCTCAAAGCATCCAGAGAAAGTTGTGTGAGATACATTACCTCTAAGAGAAAAGACAAAGATACATTACCTCTAAAACAGAAACAATTTGAATGACAACGAAAATGTTGGAAGGCAGAAAACCATCTTTAAAATGGCAAAATAACTGCCAATCTTGAATTTAATATCCAGCAAAACATTTTCATAAATAAATGTAAAGCAATAAATACCACAGTGAGATCCAGCTATGAAAAGATGGTGTAAAAATTAATTACCACATGGATAGTCACTAGAATAACTTTGTGTCACTAAGACATCTTTCTAAGTAATGCAGTATTAAAAGTTAGAAGTTTAATACAAGGAAATGGAGTGCTTAGAGATCTCTTAATATTGAAAATAATCTGGAAAAATTGCACAGCTGTGCAACTAAAGCCATGCAAGAAAACAGCATTGCCATCCAACATTCGTTCAGCATCAGGCTGAGCATGCGCACTAATCACCTACTGCACAAGGTGGCTGTTAACTTTCACATTAGTCTTCTTCTAAATGCTAAAGGTCAGCATATCAGGTTCTATGTGTACACAAAGCAGGAAATGTTCAATGCCTGGCATTAATTTGATAATAAAGAAAAAGATATTAACATTCATTTATAATTTCCCCTTTTGTCCTCTGGTATTTGCATCCTATGGTAATACATAATTTATCAACCTATTTTTCTACTTGTCCTATTATATGGTACAGATGTCTTCTCATTTCCTTGAAATGTACTTTGTTAATGCTATTTGCCTTGGCATTCAGTCTTTCTCACTAAGTGCTTCTCTATTTCACAGGAAGGCACTTTAAAAAAAATAGTTAATAATAAAGTAGCATACTTTGAAAAAAAAATTTTTGTTGTTGTTTTTGGTTTAGTTTTGTTTGAGACCGGGCCTCACTCTGCCATGGGTGTAGTGGTACAGTCAGCTCACTGCAACATCCTGGCAGTTGTGAGCCTGGGCTCAGACAATCCTCATACCTCACTCTCCTGAGTAGGTAGGACCACAGGTGTGCATCACCACACCTGGCTAATTTTTTAATTTTTTAAAGAGACGGGGTTTGCCATGTAGGCCCAGGCTGGTCTCCAACCCCTGAGCTTAAGCGATCAGCCCACCTTGGGCTCCCGAAGTGCTGGGATTACAGGCGTGAGCCACTGCGCCCAGTCTTAAAAGAAAAATCTGTTTTCTAAATGAGAGACTTGAGTTTAGTTCTCATGAACATAACTTTTTCATACTAGGTTTCAGACCTGGTATCATTAAATATAATTCATTACAAAGACTTTTTCTAATGTCTTCAAATTCTTTAAGTCACCTTCAACAAGAAACTGTACAAGAAGCAAGCTACAACCTTACAGCAAGTGGTAAATGTATATTTATTGCTTTCCCCCTACCAGACAGAAACTCCTTTCTTGTTACTAACCAGAATAGGAATCATTCACAATCTTCAACTTGTGCTTCAAGGATCTGATCCTTCTTTTTACTCTGGCAATTCTTTCTCTTTTACCATCAAGTGTAATGTGGACCTTTCTTTTGATTGTGCCAACAGACTTCCAATCTAACTGCATCTGTTCATATAAACTATATCAAAATAATGCTAAAGCTTTTCTTCAATCTTACAGATATTGCAATATTCATCTTAATACTTCCTTAAGATTCATCTAATTGCAGTTGTAAGTATCATTAGTGAATCATTTTTAACCTCATTTTTCCAAGGTTGAATTTCTGCCTTAAATCCATAAACTGTCAAGACACATATCTTTTTGTATTGTACATATAATTTGACGAAGTTTACTGATTCTTCAGTAAATCTGCAAAATGAGAATCATTCACCAAAAGTTTTTCTCCTATAATCATAAACTTTTATCAAAACTTTTCTTTTGGACAGGTAACATACTTCAGCATCCAACAGTAGGTATTTTGATTCCATTTCTCACCTAAAACTGAAAACACATGCAACTGAAGCAGCTTAGATTTTATTACAGCCTCCATTTCATTATATTATTTAATATGGAATTCAGGTCTACAGACAAACATATATATAATCTTGACATAAAATCTTTAAATGTTCCTATCGTGAAGCCTCATCATCAGTCATAAACTTAACTAGCATTTCCATAGGACCTTCTTTGTTTCAAAGTATTAAAAAAAAATTTAGCAATTAAATGTATTTCTTTCAGGTCCTAGTAAGTGAGTTACATTTTTTTAAAATTATTTTTTATCTTATGAGTCTAATGACTTTCCAGTGTTAGTCACTAAATTGCCCTTATGGTGGGAAAAATTAACATCTGTACATTAAGGCTAATTATAAAGTAGTAAAAATGAAAAATATATCAAATTCATTATGTTCTTTTCAAGAACCTCCTTATATATTTTACGATAATTAAAACAATTTTAACTTCTCTGTTAATCGAAAAAAGGTAAGAAACAAAATGAGACATTTCTGCTTGAACATAAAAGGTAGCTTCATAATGAAGCTGTGAATAAAGTAATATTCAGAGTACCTGGATGATTGAACAAGAAAGTAGGAAGTACTGAGGTATAGCCACTATAAAGAGCTCTCTGTCTCCAAGTGTTATGCATCAATTCTTTTGCCCCAATAAAATAATGAATTAGAACAGTTTATACAGGGATCATATGATTTCGAGTGTTATAATTTTTGAAATATAAAACATTTGTTAAATATCTCTACTACAATAGGATTTTACAACCACTAGTATCTCAGGGGACACCTATACTGATTAATGGAACACTGGTTAGGAAGCTCTGCTCAACTATCCAACTGAATTCATACCCATCCTCCAAGAATCAAGAGCCACCTATTTCATATTACTGATCTCAATAAAATTGTTCCCAAAATATTCTACTTTTACTGTTTTTAACTGTTTTCACGATAATAAACTACATTTAGTAGTGAATAGTGTTGCCTCTCCAACATCCATTTCACCCATACATATGGTAAGTAGAGCAGCCTCACTATTTGGGTGAGATCATTTCCAGCAACAGATCTAGGCACAAAAGGGTCTCCTCATTCTATCAGGATAATCCCATTCCTTTTGCTACCTCAGTAACCCAGAACTAAAAATTGGTTGAGAGGTGGCTCAACAGAATGTTTTCAAGATTTTTTAATAATTATGGGAGTGAATGCTTACAGCCCTTTCTCTGGTGCTGTTTGCTACCTTGCTACCATGTAGGGAACTGGTTTGAGGAAGGATTCAACCCACAAGAAGGGTGCAGAGTAGAACTAAAAAGAAAAGACAGAGGCCTGAATCAACCACATTTGAAGGTTAAGATTCTCAGGTTGTTAAAGAGGGGCAGAAAAATCTCAAGAAATCCTGTCCTCACGCAATCTTTGTGTTTTTTGGAACAACTCTTTATGAGGTATCAGTGAGTATTCAGGGGAAAAAAAAGGGTATCTTCGTAAAATGAATTTATGAAGTAATTCATACTATTTTACAGATTCACAATATAAACACTAGCTAAAGCTACAAAAAGCCTTGCTATAAGTAAAACTATTTGTTCAATCAGCATTTCCCAAACCTATTTGATCATTTTAAAAAACTGTCAAAATCACAAGTAACACTAATGTGATCTCCTAAACACACTGAAAAAAGAAATGACAAGGCTATATATTTTACAGGTATTTCTCTTAAAGAAGAGAAATATTTCAACAGGATAAAACGTAGATTTGCCTCACAGAAATGCCATCCTGCGGCAGAAAAACAAGCTGTTGAAACATTTAACTGTCTTTTCTCTTACTAATCATAACAATAGGTAATAAAAATGGTAAGTACATCTAAAAAGACTGGGATGGATTACTGATAATACTAATGGTGAAAGGTAAAGGCCATTGTTCTTGAGAAAAAAATCTAGATGTAATCAAGAGCTGGATTTGTCTTCTGATGTTTAGGATTCAGCTTATACATTTATATTCATTGTTTCAAAACCAAGAAGTCAACATAAGAATTTTTTTTAATTTCAAATACATTTTTCCTATCAAGACAATTTTAAGATTATTTTTTAACATTAACTTTCTTAAGAACTTGCTTATAGAGTTAATAGCAGAATTGAGTGCACCTAGTACTCTTGGGTACACTGAGTTAAACCATGTGAAAAAATCAGAGGAAAGGTGACAAAGACTCAAAGTAAGTCACTCAAAAGATTGCTTGTTGGGGCAGGGACAAAACATGCTTTACTACAGGAAATGTCATGCCAAAGATTTCTGTGCAACACAATGAAGTAGACTTTATGTATATATTAGTCTACAATTAAGCAAGGAAGGCAAAAATTACCTAGAAAGTGCATCTGCTACTTTTAGAAGATGATTTTAGGGCTCTCAAAATTGGTTTGCTTTGTTTGTACTATTTTATTATTAAGACAATTCCGAAAGAAAAATAGGAAACCAGTCTCTTACCTGCCAAAGAGACTATCATGAACGACATAGACAGAACATACACTGAGATCTATTAATCCTTTTGGTTTGGTAGCTCGTTTTTCGCTTTCAAAATAAATAAGTTGGGCATCACTACCCTCTAAGATAAAATATAAATTTTTCCAACGTTTTCCTTTGCCTGTTTAAAAAAAAAAATTGTTTTCTCTTAGCCAAACAATTGTGAAATCCTACATATTATTAAAATTAGTGTTTCTAAAAATATGAATCAATCAATTTTTATTCCAAAGCTTATGTAATATGCCAATTCTTACATAATGAGAAAATGCCTATAACAAATCTGTACAAAAATGCCTTTTGTTATATTACTTGTTTTAATCACAGAGTAAATGCTGAGAATACCTTAACTATATCTTCAGAGATTTCATCATGATGAAATTGTCAGAATTCTTGTTTTGGAATAATTCTTTAACAGTCTTAAGGAAAAAATTCTTCCACTTTATAAAGCACACCCCCACCCACAATTCCCCAAAATGTCGTTATGTCAAATTGAGGTAAATCTGTAAAATATCAATATTATGAATGTGCCATGTGCCATAAGGAGTTCCTCAAAAAAAAAAAAGAAAGAAAGAAAGAAAAAAAGAAACCATGGGTAGAAGAAACATTCTGGTTGAAAATGTAGACTTTTAATATACCTACACTCTAAATTTTGAAGAATGCTTATATATGGGCTCTAAACAAGTGTCAATTACTAATAACTCATGTCAAAACTTATTAAATATATATCACAATAAGTTCGGAGCTCCATATTTACAACGTCTCTATCAAATGGGTTAATGATAAAAGTCTGAACTTACCCTTTTTCAGAAGATAACCTTTCTTAACAATGTTTTTATAAAAGGCATCCTTTGTTTTACGACGGATGGTATTATAGATTTCCTTGCCATCCACTGTGTCATTGAGTACTTGTTCTTGATCCTGAATTTTAAAAAACATTAAAATTATTTCATACATTCTTGATGGAAATGAAGTAAAAATCTATAAAAGTACCAATTAAAAGCCAAAGCGCTTAAAATACTAAAATCTAGATACACATAACACATAAATGATCTTTTGCTTTCCAAAGAAATTCTCAGAAATGCTTCCTTATAATTTCGAAGAACACCGACAACAAAGTTCACAGAAAGGTTTCCTTGCCAATCCCAAGAACAACTAATAAGTTGTCTGTTTCCATGGATACCTAATAAGCTATTTTCGAATACAGTCAGTTATATTTTACAGCAAATCATGTTTTAAAAACATAAACTTGTCCCAGCATAACTGGTAGATTAGGAACCAATGTAAGCATAAAGCAAATTCATGTTTGCCTATGCACAATTGTGTCTGTGAGAAATGCTAGGTGAATACAGACAACCGTACCAGGTGAACTAAGACATGAGAATGAACAAAACATACACACTTCAAATACCTAACAGTTCCCTCAATCCACTAAGTGTGTCACATGCCACACCCATCCATCCACAGCTGGTGTTATAACCATGATTTCAGATAATCCTCCTCTGCCACTCTGCAACATTCCCATGCTTCAACTCTACCAATGGCCATTTCCTCATGTAATGTACCTCTTTTTTCAAGGTAAATTGCCATATTTATTGTAGGATGTACATATTTCTTAAAAAAAAATGTATAAAACTAAGCAACATATTTATATTAGGTTCTTTCTTAATGTATCCCTGATGAAATTTCTAAGTGTTAACACCCCTAACCTCACTTTTCTCAAAAGCCCTGTGGTTTTGATTGCCTAATTTTGCATAATGCTATGATTTTTAGGAATGCATATGTTACATTATAGCAGAACTTACATTAATTGCTAAATCTCCTGAGGAAAAGAATTATATCAGGATGCCTTTATCATGATCTTTCCAGAATAAATGAATCTTCAATTTTACTATTAAGGTCAATTGGACTCAGTTTTAGTTTTTTGGTTTCCTTTTTGAGTAGTTCTTACTATTTTGCAAGGATTCATATTTTATGACTTTTAGTCCATCTTACAAACTTCATGGATCCATTCAATCCTCTTATAAATCTAAGTTATGCTGTGGGATTTTCATAATCCTCTATCTTGAAACATTATGCTGTTTCATCATCCTAGGAACTATTTCATCATTACTCAGAATTATTCCCAAGTTAATGCTACAAAATTACTAAAATAATAAGAAAATAGAAGAATGAATTGCTTACAGCAGGGCTGACAAACTGTGGCACGCATGCTAAATCCAGTCCACCACCTGTTTTTTATACATAAAGTTTTACTGGAACACAGCCATGCTCATTCCCTAACATGCTGTCTGTGGTTGCTTCCAGATAAAAAGACAGACTTTAGTGGACACACTAAATGAACTGCAAAACCCTTTACAGAAAACTTTTGCCAACCGCTGGCCTAGAGGATGATATAACTGAAATAAATAATCTCTACTGCATCACTCTGGGTGTGTGTGTATGTGTGTGTGTAACTGTGTTGCAAAGTATTGCGGCATCTTTTGTAAAAACATAAAAGGCCATCTTTGCTGTCTTTTTAGCTTTGATTGAACATACTTAAAATATTCAGAACTCTTTATTTTCTGCTCATAAATGATAAAGAGAAAAAAACTGATCCAGGAAGATGTTTGACAATTAGAAAAATCAGAAAACGAATGCAAAGAAACAGCAGCACTCTAGACTCTTATCATGATGGCAGAATTGATTTTGATAAACCTCAGACTGTGATTTTTCAGATGATGATATACTTGAATTTTCTCAAACTCAATCACTGAGTGAACCATATTACTTCTATTATCCTGTTTTGCTAAAAAGAAATGAGACTAAATTTTTGTATGTACATCAAAATTTACTTAATATGATTTGTGAATGGGCAAATATTAAAGGGCCTTTGTATAAAAAATTACTGAAAGTAAACATATAGAAATTGTAAAATTCACTGGATTGATCACTCTTATAAACATCAATGTTAACTGGTGTTTTAAAATCTAAACAAAAATATTTTACAATTATGGAGCAATGGACACTGTACTCTCCAACAAAATTATGAGCCATCAGAGTTTTCAAAAGTACTGCATTTTGCTCACGCCTTTAATCCCAGTACTTTAGGAGGCCGAGGCGGGCACATCATCTGAAGTCAGGAGTTCGCCCAGCCTGGCCGACATGGTGAAACCCTGTCTCTACTAAAAATATGAAATTAGCTGGGCGTGGTGGCGCGTGCCTGTAATTCCAGCTACATGGGAGGCTGAGGGAGGAGAATCGCTTGAACCCAGGAGGCGGAGGTTGCAGTGAGCTGAGATCATGCCATTCCACTCCAAGCCTGAGCAAAAAAGAGCGAAATTCCATCTCAAAAAAAAAAAAAAAAACTGCATTTTGATAATACAAAAACAAGAAAGAATAAGCTAGATTCCAGTAGTGATGTACTTAAAATCTGGAATTGATATGATAGATACAATGCAAGAAGAACCAAAGTAATTACAAATAGAACTTATTAGACAAGTATCTGATTTCAAATCTGGAATCAGAGTTTACAAGATGGCTGTGTTCCAGGTCTGTGCACGAAGGGTGAAGAACTGTTAGTTGCATTGAAAAGACTGTCCATTTCAGGTACGTAAACCTTTCTAGACATGAAAACATGGAACAAAAATTTGGGTACGCTACATTTAAATTCTTACTACATTTTCCAATGAAGTTGTTTTTGGATTATACCCTTAATCTTGGTGATGCGAATTATTTGTAAAATGACTTAGGAATATAAAAAAATTAAAAGGGTACACTGGACCATGATGTTACAAATAGTGATGACTTTACTTTCCTGGTAATACAGATTTGTATTTATCAAATCTTTAGTTCAATGGTGATGGCACTTAGTATTAGCTGCAGAATGGAACATTCTTGGAGTCTGTCATTTAAGACATGTAACCACACTAATATTTGGATTTAAATACTTGATTCCAAGATTTTATATAGATCTTGGAATCTATATAGATCTTTTAAAAATCATATTAAAGTGGGGACTAGCCCACAAATCCTAAAAGATTCCAATACACTAGAAGATGCTATGGGCAAAAACACAACATCACTTTTCAAGTCCTAGTCAATGAGAGGAGAAAGGCTTCTCTACGTGTTCCTTTTCTCAGCCTGAGAGATAGTTCTTAGATTTTTTACATTCCTCCCAAGGGAAATTCAGTAATCTGATTGGTTAGAGTCTAACAGCCATTGAACCAAGCTCTTCCCTAGAAGTTACATGTGTAAGCTCCTGAAGACAGACTTAACTTGCAGATCCTAGCTTTGTCACTTAATGTAGGAAAACGCCATTTAATATATTAATTCAATAAATGTTGAGTCTCAGGCACTGTTGTAGTTCTTGAGATACATCAGTGAACAAATCAAAGACCCCTATCCTCATGGAACTTGTATTCTAACCAGGGAAAGATTAAAAATAAACATAAATAAATAAATTGTACTACATGTTAGAAGGTAAGTGCTCCGCAGGGTTGAGCAAGTTGCAGTGTTAATTAAGGTGTCTAGGTAAAGTGTCATTTGCTAATTTGCTAAATTTTGAGCAAAAACTTGAAAGATGTAAGAGTGAGGCTAGTGGATATCCAAGAGAAAACAATTTTGGACACAGTGAACAGCTACAGCAAAGATCCTAAGGAAGGAAAGAGTCTGGCTTATTTACAAATAATAATACAGAAGCAAGTATGAGTGAAAAAGAGTGGCAGGAGGATAGTAGGAAGAGACGAGTTCAGAAAATTAATGGACTGCCACTGTTGGGTCTTGTATGCCATTCTAAGGACTTTGGCTTTTATTCTGAAAGAAATGGAGAACATTTTCAAGTATTAAAACAGAGGAGTAACACGATCTGACATTTTAAATGGATCCCAGTGACTGCTGCGCAGCATGCAGCATAAGGGGACAAAGCTAGAAACTAGGAGATGAAGGCAGATTCTGGTGGTGGTCATATTCTAGACATACTTTGAAGACAGAGTCAGTATGATCTTCCTGACAGGTTAGATATAAAGTACAGGAAGAAAAAAAGAGAAGAATTGAGGATGATTTAAGTTATTAACCTCTCAGCTCTCAGTTGCCTTATCTTTGAAATAGGCATCATTGTAGTGTCACCTTGGTAAAGTTGTTGAGAAAATTAAATGAATGAATATGTATAAAAAACAGTGCTTAAAATATAGTGCTCAAAAATGTAAGGCATTTTTATTATGGGGTATATTGTCTCAAAAGGACCCTTTTTGTCTAATGCTTGCCTCAAAAAGTGTTAACAGTTCCAGGAAGTAAGCAAAGCTAGCTAGGACTCTGCTGTTTCTTAGCCTTTGCCAGCATCTTAGCCTGAGTGTGGGTACACAGGGTCACCTCATTGGAAGATGAGGTGATTTGCTAACTAATCAATTTGGCGATTAGTAAAAAGATAGTATTGCTTTTGTACTAATAGTTAAAACCCTGCTTGAAGAATGAGTGAGTTTTATTATTCCCCAAACTTCTACTAAAACCAACTTTTCATCACCCCATGCTCCAAAATAATAGACTACAAATAGCACTTAATAGTTTCTGTGTAGCAATCAATCAAATTGCTTTATAATCAGCATCAATTATTTCTGAAGTATTCAAAGCATTATAGGCACTTCTGCAAAACCAATTGGAGGTTTGTTCAGTTATAAAACTAACACAAGAGCAAGGCACATTACATATCTCAAGTAATTCTTAAAGCAGTCTTATAACACATACTGCAAGTTTATTAGATGCCACATACTATTTGTTTTTCTTTTTTTTTGAGATGGAATCTCGTTCTGTCTCCCAGTCTGGAGTGCAGTGGTGCAATCTCGGCTCACTGCAACCTCCACCTCCCAGGTTCAAGCGATTCTCCTGCCTCAGCCTCCAGAGTAGCTGGGACTACAGGGGCATGTCACCACACCCAGCTAATTTTTTGTATTTTTAGTAGAGACAGGGTTTCACCGTGTTAGCCAGGATGGTCTTGATCAAAACTTAAATTAGAAAATTCTAAGTACAAATTCAGTATGGGGAAATGTATGATTTAATTTGGGGTCAAATAAAATTAAAATCACTAACTCAAAGAGCCAAGGGGAATTAGAATTGAGGATACAGCAATGGAACTATATGGCAGGATCCGTCATCTGGAGGCAAAGGCACCTCTGATCCTGAAAAAAGATCCTAGCCATGGTCTAAAAAGCACTCACCCATGTTATTTAAAAAATACACATATATAAAACATATATATATTTATATATGTGTGTGTATGTTATATGTTCTGGCTAACTTCTCTTCCAATTACTCTGCGGTAATAAAAAAAAAATTACTCAAAAAGTGAAACAAGATGGATGTTAAAATAGTATTTAGATAGGCAGAGAGGAAGACTGACATGGTGATAGGAAGGAGCACATTAAAGTGTAAGACCTTAGTAACAATACAGGCAAGGGTAAAGTAGGTATTTCTTGCTGGAAAGCAGAGAATCATTCATTCAATCAATATTTATTGAATATCTAATGTCAGGTACTGTTCTAAGCACTGGGAAAAAACAATGCAAACAAAAATCTCTGTTCTCATAGACCTTAAATTCTACTAGGAAAGCATGCGGGAATGAAGGAAAATATAGGCATACCTTGGAGGTATTTCAGATTTGGCTCCAGACCACCACAATAAAGCCAGCCATATGAATTTTTTGGTTTCGCAGTGCACGTATAAGTTATGTTTACAACTATACTGTAGTCTACTAAGTGTGTAATAGCATTATGTCTAACAATGTACACGTGTTAATTTAAAAATATTTTATTACTAAAAACTGTTGGGGCAACCAAAGTGGCTCACAACTGTAATCCCAGCATTTTGGGAGACCAAGGCTTCTGCCTTGGAATTCAAGACTAGCCTGGGCAACAGAGCAAGACTCTATCTCTACAAAAAATATTAGCTAGGCACGGTGGTGTACACCTGCAGTCCTAGCTACTGGGGAGCCTGAGGCAGGAGGATTGCTTGAGCCCAGGAGCTCAAGGTTGCAGTGAGCTACAGTTGAACCACTGTACTCCAGCCTCAGCCACAGCGCAAGACCCTGACTCCGGAGGGAGAAAAAAAAAAAAAAATAACAATCATCTAGGACGTCAGTGAGTCATAATCTTTACGCTGGTGAAGGGTCTTGCCTTGATACTGATGTCTGCTAAGTGATTAGGGCAGTGGTTGCCAAAGGTTGGGGTGGTTGTGGCAATTTCTTAAAAATGAAGTCTGCTGCATCAATTGACTCTTCTTTCACAAAAGAAATTCCCTATAATGCTGTTTGATACCATTTTACCCACAGTTGAACTTCTTTCAAAACTGGAAGCATTCCTCCCAAACCCTCTTGCTGCTTTATCAAGTTAAGTTTATAGAATATTCTAAATTATTTGTTTTCATTTCAGTAGCGATCACAGGATCTTCACAGGAGTAGATTCTATCTCAAGAGACCACTTTCTTTTCTCATCCGTAACAAGCAACTCCTCTTTCGCTCCAGTTTCATCACAAAAGTGGAGTAATTCAGTCACATCTTCAAGCTCCACTTCCAAATTTAGTTCTCCTGCTACTTGTACCACATCTGCAGCTACCTCCTCCTCAAAGTCATCTTGTAGTCTTGAGCCCCTCAAAGTTATCCAAAAGAGTTGGAATCAGCTTCTTCCAAACTTCTGTTAATGTTGTTATTTTGGCCTCTGCCCATGAATCACAAATGTTCTTAATGGCCTCTAGAATGATAAATCCTTTCCAAAGGGTTTTCAATGTACCTTGCCCAGATCCATAAGTCACTATTTTTTGCAAACATAACATTATGAAATTATTTCTTAACTAAGGATTTGAAAGTCAAAATTACTCCTTGATCCATGGGCTGCAGAATATAAGCTGTGTTAGCTGGCATGAAAACAACAATCTCCTTGTACATCTCTATCTGAGCTCTTGATTGTAGAGGTGCATTGTCAGTGATCAGTAACATTTTCAAAGGAATTGTTTGTTCTGAGCAGTAGGTTTCAACAGTGGCCTTAAAATATTCAGTAAACCATGCTGTAAACAGATGGGCTATCATGCAGGCTTTGTAGTTCCATTGACAGAGCACAGGCACAGTAGATTTGGCATAATTCTGATGCTCCTAGGATTTTCAGAATAGTCAACGATAATTGGTTTCAACCTAAAGTCACCAGCTGCATTAGCCCCTGAAAAGAGTCAGTCAGCCTGACCTTTGAAGCTTCGAAGCCAAGCATTAACTCTTGCCATGAAAGTCCTAGATAATATTTTCAGATAGAAGGATGTTTTCTTTACACTGAAAATCTGTTGTTTAGCACCTTCAATACTTATCTTCTGGATAACTTGCTAGTTATCTTCTGGAAAACTAGCTAGATGTTCTGGGTAACTTGCTACAGTTTCTTTGCTTCACCGTACACTTTTATGTTATGGAGATAGCATCTTTCCTTAAATCTTATGAATCAATCTCTGGTAGCTTCCAACTTTTCTTCTGGAGCTTCCTCACCTCTATCAGCCTTCACAGAATAGAAGAGAGTTAGGGCCTTGCTTTGGATAGGCTTTGGCTTAAGGGAATGTTATCCCTGGTTTAATCTTCAATCCAGACCACTCAAATTTTCTCTATATCAGCAATAAGGGTGTTTCACTTTATTAATCATTCATGTGTTCAATGGAGTAGCACTTTCAATTTCCTTCAACAACTCTTCCTTTGCATTCACAACTTTGCTGTTTGGTGCAAGAGACCTAGCTTTCAGCCTATTTTGGCTTTCACCATGCCTCCCTAAGCTTAATCATTTCTAGCTTTTGACTTAATGTGAGAGACATGTGACTTTTCCTTTCACTTGACCATTTAGAGGCCACTGTAGGGTTATTAATTGGCCCAATTTTAATAGTGTTGTGTCTGCAGAAATAGGAAGCCCCAAGGAGAGGAAGAGAAACAGAACCAGCCAGTCAATGAAGCAGTCAGAACATACACTACATTTATCGATTAAGCTTGCAGTCTTCTTCAGATGCAGTTCATGGCACCCCAAAACAATTGCAATAGTAACATTAAAGATCACTGATCACAGATCAACATAACATATAATAGTGAAAAAGTTTGAAACATTTTAAGAATTACCAAAATGTGACACTAAGACACAAATGAGCACCTGCTTTGGAAAAACAGTCGCAATAGACGTCCTTCTTGCCACAAACCTTCAATTTGTAAAAAAAACTATCTTTGAAACATAATAAGGCAATGCACAATAAAATGAAGTGTGCCTGTATGTTAAAATGTGACAAGATTATGATTCTTGAATTTATCTTTAGCTTCAGATTAATGATTCCTCACCTCCCACCCCACCCCCCACCAATTAACTGCAATAAGTAGTAGCTATAGCCATGTGAAATGAATTTGTTAGGAGGAAACATCAAGAAACTAGGCACACTACAAATCACTGTACAATTGCAGCTGGGTACCCAAAACCCTTAATAATCCTTTATGTCCCTAGAATAACAGTACCTCCATTTTCCACTTAGGAAAATTATTAATCCGTCTTTTGAAGCACCTTTTTCTAACCCCTGTTATACCATTTCCCTACCATATACTTCAGAAAGTGCAATGAGGAAGAAACAGAAGCTAATCACCCTAAGCGTTAAGCAACTAACATTTAACAGGCTCTCTTGCTCAAGGCCAATCTTTCCTTTTATGTTCTAGATTCTATTCACTTTTGTCTAGGACCCTGTCTGTAAGACATTGCCACCACCCATCTCCCCATACAACTTCACTCTCCTCTTTACTACTATACAGTTTTCACTCAGAGTATACAGACATTCTCAAATCCTCTCACCGTAAAACTACAGGCAAATAAACAAAGAAAAAGTGTAAACCATTTTTTGCCCTAATCCTCTTCTATCAGTATTTTTTATTTCCTTTTATTACTCCCCAGGCTTTAATAATCCTGGCTGTGGTTTATCCCTGCTGTCTCTACTTTTGCCTCCAAAAAACTCACTCCTGGACCTACTGCAACTTACCTTCCTCCACGACTGCTTCTAATCTCAAAAAGCCACTAGGTTGTTCCTGATTACCTAAAATCAACATAGATAAAAACTAAAAGATTCTTACAGTTGACTTTCTAAAAAAATCTAAATAATCTGTAGTTTTAAGTTGTATCCAATTTGAATTGTACAAATGTGTGCAAAAACATACCACCAAAATGCATTTTAAAATAAAATGCTAATTATTGCAATAAGAAATGCAACACTGACCTGCATTGGTACAGGTTCCTTAAGATAATATCCTTCAACAATCTGTTCTTTTCGATAGTGATCTATGATGTCCCCAATGCTGTTAAAATAAAAATTTCTAGTATTAATCTGTCTCATAAAACTGCAAAATCTTTAAAAATATGTGTAAACTTTCTTGCCAAGGATTATCTAATTAGCAAATTTTTTTCAAAGCACATAACACAAATACATTAATAGAATAAATGATCATAACATTCATATTATTTTAGAAAAAACAATGTTCTCAATATAGATTTACAGGCCAGAATACATGGCCCAGATTCTGATTTTCCATACCCATCAAGTGGGCAGCCAGGTCAACAATACCATATTCAAAGAGTCACCATAAATGAGGAAATGATTAAAAGTCTACCTTTTTTTTCACCCCCAAGAGTATATATGAGATACTAAGAATGAAGAATTCACAGAAACATGGCATTTATTTAGGAAGCAGAGTTCAGGTAAATTAAGAATTTTTATTATCACATTTACACATACTGGTTTTATATCAGAAACAGGTCATAAAACACATGAAAAGCAGGCAAAAAGAAGAAAAAAACCCCCAGCTAATCTTACATGTAGGATTATCACTATAGGGAGAAAAGCTTATTATTTTGATTAAAAGTGCTACAAATTGGGAAATATTGGGAAAATATTACAAAAAAATAAAATGACATACTGTATTTTAATATAAATTTTAGTGAACCACGTATTTTTTTAAATATAAAGTTGTTTCTCTATAATCAGTAAGATCATTCTATTGTCCTGAATATGGAAATCTTGGAATTTTAAACCTTCCTTTAATATACTGGACAAATGGGAACTTTTGAGCCACCTAGGAAACACTTCTCCAGACAGATTTTGTTTAACCTTCTATATATATATAATTAGAATATATATGTGTGTGTGTGTGTATCTTCAAGTATGTTATCTTCCCTATACTACAAAGTTAATTTAAACCAAATATAAGTAATGTTAAAAACCAAAACAAAAGGACCTGAAAAGTTAACTAGTAGTGTATGAATGAACTTAATACCAGAAGCAGCATTTAACACAAGCCACAGAGGGGTGTGGTGAAAATGAGATAAATAAAAGCATTATTAAAAGAACAAGCAAGATTTTATGTTTTTAATAAAAAAATCTAATACCATATAAATCCAAAATTGTTAAAAGAAAAATGAAAATCAGGAAATATATTTGAAGATAGCTAGATTCCACTAAAGAGATGACTATGTGTTTTAAAGCAAAAAGCACCAAATCTATGAAAATCAGTAAACATCAAAGGTTTTTGGGCTCAGTAACTGTAAAATACAATCAATCCACTGTAGCACCTCAATGTTACAATATAATTGTTTTTCATAAACTGAGAGAACAGGAAACCATGGGGAAGTACAGTTCAGATTGTCCAGGAGCAAATTTAAAAGTGTGTGGCAACCAATCAGATAGGTTTTTACCAATGAGCTAGACTTAAGAGTTTTTTTAAAAATTACTCTTCCATTTATACTCTACGCAGAAACACCGAAATAAACAGTCAGGGGAGATAAACCAGAATTTTCTAGACATTCATATAAGTTCCAGCCATGAAATCAGACAGATTTACATCTCAGAAAACTAAAGCATATTCAATGTAAACTTACTTTTGAAATAAACGTGAGTTTCTAGAGACACTGTGTTCTGTATTTTAATTTTTGTAATGCATTTAGCACATAAAACCATGTGCACTCTTCTTCTTCAAGTCTAGATAAATGTTAATATTGTCTCCTCAAGGTCTAGCCAAAATCCATTGTCTTCCTTCTCACCCCCCACTGAACTCTCATTTATTGATTCCCATGCATTTATATATCCCCTGAATTTATCACATTCTGCATACCATACTTTCTTTTCTAATAAACCTGAGCACTAATAAAGAAGAAACTATATCTTTTTCTTTAATGTATTTACACAGAATTTGTACAGTATATTTCACAAAGTAGATAAGTCGATAAATGGCTGCTGAATTAAATTTGCTATTAAATGCCTCTTCTGCTTTTTTTTTTTAAAACTCTGAATATAGGAACATTAAAGTTATGTCTTAACAGTTTCTAAATGAAAGACATAACTACTATCCCTCTTTATCAAGGTCTCATGTTTAGTTAATGGGGAGATGGGACAGCAGAGTATGGCTGTGTTCGACAGATTTATTGAAAAATCTTTCTTTATACATTTAGATCTAACAATAAACAATAAGCACAAAGATTTATCTTCCTAGGAATTATTTCTGACATTACTAACATTAATGCTGAAATGAAATATATATTTCCAAAACAATTACAAAATCCTTCATTTTCACAGCACCTGATTCACATAATTTGGGGCTTTTTAAAGAAGTTTAATGTTAAAACTAGAAACAATAAGATGAATTTATAAACAAATTCACAGGGAAGAAAAATTATAAAAATCAAAGTTCTGGGGGAATGGTCAAGGCCACTAAATTAACATACATTTAACTTTTTTTTTTTAATCCTCATTTTGAAAACATAATATTGCAATAATTTGGACAGAAATCTACTTAAAATACTTCTTTTTTCATGTTCCATCATGGTGTTCAGCAACCAAAAGCGACTACCTTTACATGTTTTACCGACTTCCTCCAGTATGTAGGAAGAATTTCCAGTTTTGTGTGATGTATCATAAGGAAGTTTAAGTTAGTAACAAAACGAACTTCAAAAAAATAAATTCATGTAAATTATTTTATCTTTAAAAAGGATCTCAATATGGACATTTATTCAGTTAAGAAGATGATATATTTTCAGTGCATTATTTTGTATGTTCTAAATCTCCAGAAAACTGGAATTGGGAAAAATTACATTCTTAAAGAACTCAAATTGCAGCTAGCTGTATTTTCAGTGAGGACATCTAGAACTCAGATTGTCATGTATAAAGTACTCAAGCAACCTGTATATGAGGTAGGCAAAAGGGTACAGCTGCCTAGACTCACATCTTACATTTGATGTCTTTTAACAGTCAACTGAGCTTCCAGCAAGCAACTAGAAGAACTTGTTTTTGTTTTTTGGTTTTTTTCAGATAAACAAGCTACAGAATCTCTATTCACTCAAATGTCTAGTTTGACAAATTCTAATTCAGATAGAGAATACTGCTGTGGTACTGAGGGGTTAAACTAGGCAAATATAAGCATTTTAGAACAAGATTATGCCAGCCTCTGAAATAGGAAATAGAGAGTTATTAGTTATAGGAAAACCTTTACGTTCACAAATGAAGATTATTTTCTATTTGACTGAAAAATTGCTGACATTCTATCATATGGTTTCTTCTATTAACTTATTTTCCTAATCAAGTAACTATAATTCATTCTGAGTTTTGGGACAAACAATGAGTTTACTTTGAAAGTGAGAAGTAAAAACCAACAATCACATGTAAGAAATGTCAACTTGAGAAGAACTCAGTTACATGATAACATCTGTATAATAAGTCTCAGGTATCTTTAGAAACTTTTTTTTTCCTACTAAAGTATCTCACTGATAAAATAATGTTGATATATTTTCTTTTCCTAAGATATTTTGCTCCTCCTACAGATAACACATGGATTTAGTAAATTTGTTGCAAACAGCTTATGTCTAATTTTTAAAATCACAAAAATTGTTTTGGAAGGAAACAAAGTATAAGTTACTAATTTGTATTCATATTTGACACTGTCTAAAGAATTCTTGGGCATGACTACTATGAAATTATATTGAAGGTCTTATAATTTTTAGAAGTTAGAAACTTTTATATAATTTTGACTCTGAATACTGTATTATCAAGATTTCAACTATTTTTGCGAAAAGTAAAAGATAGCTAAAAAATTATGATTTACCTGTTATAATACCGGCCTCCCATCATAAACTGATTGTTTGGCGTTGGACATATTTTAAATCGCTGAATATTTTCATTGGTCCGGAAATAAAGTGAATAATCGCCAGGAGTATTATCTGAGGGCCTCACAAGAAAACTGCAGACTTGACCAACTGTAAGAATTAAGCTGTTAGTTTTTCCCTAATTATCAAATAAAAAAGAAAAGATGTTAAGTAGTATTATTACAAAGTGCATTCAAAGTCATAAACATATGTAAATTTTCACCAGGAACTTGTTTTTTTTTTAAGATAATTTCTTTCAAATTTTCTGGTTTATGATTCACAACCATCCACATTGCTTGTCTGCTATCTCTCTGGTGTATCTTACCAGCTTTAATACATAAAAATAGAGAGCAGAAATTTTGCAGCAGTAACTTCTGGTCAGTAATATCTACACCTGTCCTAATTTGGAAGGAACCTAAGCATAGTTAGGGAATACTGGCTAAAACTGCTAAATTCTGTATGTAAATCTTCGTAATAAGAAGATTCTAAAAAGTGAAGACCAGTTTGCTTAAGAATACTCTGTGCTTAATCAATGTTTTCAATTAATCATTAAACAGTAATGACTGTGCTAGGCACAGTGGTACATGCATATAATCCCAGCTATCCAGGAGGATCACTTGAGCCCAGGAGTTTGATACCAGCCTGGACAACACAGCAAGATCCTGCATCTTAAAAAAAAAAAAATTAAAAAGTAATAACTGTAATAAAATAGTACCAAAAGCTTTTTATAAAGGTAGATTCAAAACAACTGAAATATGTGTATACATTATCAAAAATCAATACACATACACTATATTTTATTCAATAGGTATGCTCCTGAAAGGAATTATAGAAGCAAATTATCATATATTAAATATGACATTAATTTTAGAGAAGTATTTCTGATATCTTTGATTGGCAGTGACTCATAATACATAGATGCTCTGCCTTTTCTCCATTTAAGTTCAAATGATCCAGAAAAGATCAGGACTTGATTGTTTTTAGGAAAGCACAATGAATGCTTAGATTATTAGATATAATTTGAGGGGTAAATTACTAATAGTTCCAATCATCCAATCAAGGCACTTATGAAGTAACTTCATGTTCAGTAAAAAGAAAAAAATAAATCTCCTTAAACTGAATCTTCAAGGCTTAATACATAAGTAAACATAAAAATTACAGAAATTGATTGTATAATATGGGCTAAAATGAAAGTGTTTCTAAGTTGATACAACAAATCTTACTGACAAGAATCCAAGATACTCTCTAAATTTCTTCTAGAATATGATAGGAATTTCATGCAAGACTGTGCATGCAAGTGCTTATTTGTACTTCTCAGGAGAGAAAATCCCACCAGATCCTCAAAAGAGCACATGACACAAAGAAAATGCAAACTAATGTATTAAGGAAATTAAGTTTAGCTCCTTTTCAACCTTGTATGACTTAAAACAAAAGTACCTCAAGTACTTGGTGGTACAAGTTCCAAAAAAGAAACATATCCAAAATTCAATAAATTCACTAAACTACATATTTTTGGTTCCACACTGAAATAGCTGACAGAATGTCATTTTAGTTTAAAATTTCTTCTCTATTACTATCATATAGCATTATCATAATCTTTTTTAACTTATTTTTTGAACCTACTTAACCTACAGCTTCACAATAAAATTGAGTACTTCAAAAACTATCTCAAATCTTTCAAAAGAATAAAGTATTAATTTAAAATGCAGTGCTTTATGGATTAAAACAATTCAGATTACCTCTATAATTAGGGTTATCACCACAAGAATCTATTTCACCAAATATAGAAACTATTGAATAGTCAACATTTTTGAAGAACTGAAACTTTTAAATTACATACTAAAGCTTAAACTTGTCTGAAATCTTTATAAGATGTGGTTTGCCAAAGAAATGCTCGGTATTTAAATTAATTCAGCCTTAAATATTTAGTAAGAATAAACAATGACAGGATGGTTAAAACCACAATACAAGTCAATTTTTACTTTGTATTTATAAGCATAACAGTTTTGGGAAATGTTAAAATTAATACATACTAAATAAAGCTCAATCATATAATTCCACAAGTATACAAAGATAAATACAAGAATGTCTGCTGTAGCTGAACAGCAAAAGAATAAAAACAATACAATATCGTTCTACTGAAGACTAGTTAATTATGGTATTTATATAATGAAAAGTTTAAATCCATAAAAGAGAGTAATGAAAGTTTTTATCTGCAGATACAGAATCATCTCCCAATATATATCTAACATGAAAAAAGTGTGTTGCATGTTCCTGTCTGTGTATGTGTAGGGGTGAGAAAGATTCACAGAGACACAGAAAACTTCTAGAAACATATGGGAAAAAAAACTGTCACCTAGTGTTACTTCTGAGGAAGTGGACAGGGGCCTGGGGTAAAAGAAAAACACACTTGACTAAATTTTATAACACATGTATGTTTAAAATATAAATAAAAACACCAGCTTCTTAGTACTGGACACGAAATTATAACATGCATAAACACTAACTGAATGCTAAAGGCAAAACACATGATAAATGGTTTGTTCACTTTTTTATTCTCTTTAAATAGACATTAGAAAAGCAAGTAAATATGTAAGTACCTGTCATTAGTAAATTATAAGCTTCCTGTTTGGAAATCTTCCCATGGAACCATCTTAAAAAGAGAATAAATTAGATATATAAATAAAGTCCTTTTTGCTGTTATCATATGATCAAAATTAAACAACCAATATAGTAAGTTTAATTCAAAGTGATAAAATAAATGCAATTAATCAAATCATCTCATTCTTATTACATTTTAATACATTTTATATACATATTATACTTAATTTCAACTAAAGATAGTAAAACTAGAAACTATCAAATATAAACTACAATTTTCATTACCAATACAAAAATGGCAACAATTTTTAATCCTGATAATAACAGACTGTTATAGGTCTTTTTTTTCTTTTTGTGGGGTAAGGGGAAGGAGGAGTAGTACAGATAGAGCCTACTCCAGAACTTCCCTGAAAAAATTAATGAATTCATTTCTGAATTTTCCTATAACATCTGATAAATTCTCTCCTCAAATAAAATCAAGATATTGACTCTTACTTTGCTGAAAGTCAGAATATAAGATTGGGTGATAAGAATGAGTGGATAGCACCATCAAGAACTGAAAGAAAAGAAGGACTTAGTGTTCTCAACTCTATTTGAGCTAACAGCCTATCAAACTAGGTTGCTATGTATTTTATATTCTGTATTCTTAAATTAAGCCTTTAGAAATTATTATAAAAGGCATCATAGTCAAGACATAGAGCATACAATAACCTAAGTATTTAAATTTTACCTTCAAATAAAAGGATATATCTGATTTAAAAAGTAATTACTAGTCATCAAAGTACATAAAATCACCTCTTATTTACCTAAAGGCCTATTATCTATCTTGCTGATTAACACATCTTAATGCCAGGCTGACAATTCCCGATCACCTATCTACTACTTTGTGGGATCTTCTTAGGGTCTACAAGTATTTTTAATAATAAAGAGCAAGCTAGAAAGTAAATATACGACTAAAATATATAAGTGCTCAAAAGTCCAGTGTGACAGGTTCAGAGGTCATTCACATTGTTTTAAATGATCCATACAATTATTACTGGTGAAGTATGAAAATATAACTGAATTTTTAAATTTTCACATGAATGAAAAGGTAAACTTTTCTTTAACACCATTCCAAGCATTAACTCACTGATTCAGATCTCCTGGTGCTCCCTGTGTAAATTTTGAATAATATAAAGCAAGAATACAACAACTAAAACAGTTCAGACTACAAGTAGTGAGGTTCTATACTGCATTCAAGTATAGGCTAAATGACCACTTACTACAAATGCTAGAGCAGGATTTTTATATTCTGGAGGACAGTCAACTACATGACCTGACCTCCAAGGCTAATCCTCTACTTCTACAGTTTGAAAAAAATTCAAAAAAAGAAGGGTAAAAAAGTGATAGGGTTTACAGATGAACAAGATTATTTAGCATAAGCACACAGTCTGAAGCCAAAGTGGCAATATCTCTTTCTAAAGAGTTTTCGTTTCATTTTTCAGACATTTATTCCCATATAAAATTTATATATTTCAACCACATGGTTTGCAACAGTGATAAAAAGATGAGTCCCTGCTCTTATAAAGTTCCTACTCCTAGGCCAGGCGTGGGAACTGGGATCACACCTGTAATCCCAGTACTTTCGGAGGCCAAGGCAGGAGGATCTCTTGAGCCCAAGAGTCCAAGACCAGCCTGGCAACATAGTGAGACCCTAACTATAGAAACAATGTAGAAACTATAATAAGCACAGTGATAGGTATTGCCAAAGGCATTTTGGGAGTAACAGAGAAGGGTACCAATACTGTTGAGTGTGTAGAGAGGAAAATAAAGGAAGATTTTCTAGGGGGAAGTGATGAATGAGCTAAGTATGAATGGAAGAATTCTGGCCTAGGAAGCAGCTTGAGCAAAGGTATAAAGAAAAATAGCTAGGAGCAATGGCTCACACCTGTAATCCCAACACTTTGGAAGGCCAAGGTGGGAGGATCACTTGAGGCCAGGCGTTTGAGACCAGTCTGGGCAGCATAGTAAGACCTCATCTTTACAAAAAAAAAAAAAAAAAAAAATTACAACATTTGCCAGGTGTGGTGGTACACACCTGTAGTCTCAGCTACTCGGGAGGCTCAGGCAGGAAGATCACTTGAGCCCAGGAGTTTGAGGTGAACTATGATAGCACTACTGCACTCCGGCTTGGGCAATGGCAAGAACCTATCTCTAAAACAATAAAGAAAAAAGTATTATGAATTTGAAGACCTACATGCTGGAGATTAGGAAACTACAGATGATAAGTGCTAGGAGTAGTAAACGACAAAATAACCAGATAACAGATCATTTTTTAGGCTCTGCTAAGGTAAAGGTGGAGAATCAGTATAAGATTCAATTTTTTAATTTTTATTTTTTCTGTTTTTATGGGTAATGTATACAACTATTTTGTTTATTTTTATGGGGTACCAGTGATGTTTTGATACAAGCATATAATGTTTAATGATCAAGTCAGGATAAATGGGGTATCCATCACCTCAAGCACATATAATCATTTCTTTGTATTAGGCATATTCAAATTCCACTCTTTTAGTTATTTTTAAATATCCAGTAAATTAGATCTTATTCATTCTATCTAGATGTATTTTTGTACCTATTAATCAGCCATATTGTATCCCCCCTTCCCTGCTACCCTTCCCACCTTTTGGTAACCATCATTCTACTATCTATCTCCCTGAGTTAATTTTCTAATATTTTGCACCCATATGAGTGAGAACACATGGTATTTGTCTTTCTGTGCCTGGCTTATTTCACTTAACATGGTATTTGCCAGTTCCATTCATGTTGCTGTGAATGACAGGATTTCATTCTTGTTTATGGCTGAATAGTATTCCATTGTGTATATGTACTATATTTTCTTTATCCATTCATCCACTGATGAACACTTAGGTTGATTAAACATCTCGGCTATTGTGAATGGTGCTGAAACATAGGAGTGCAGCTGTCTCTTTGATACACTGATTTCCTTTCTTTTGGATATATACCCAGCAGTGGGATTGCCGGATCATATGGTAGCTTTATTTTTAATTTTTTGAAGAACTTCCATGCTGTGCTCTATAGTAACTGCACTCATTTACATTCCCACCAACAGGGTACAAGGCTTCCCTTTTCTCCACATCCTCACTAGCATTCATTATAGCCTATCTTTTGGATAAAAGCCATTATAACTGGGGTGAAATGAAATCTCATTGTAGTTTTGATTTGCATTTATCTGATGATTAGTAATGAATGGTGAGCATTTTTTCATATACCTGCTGGCAGTTAAGGATAATGTGATTCAATCTAGGTAGATTATTCCAGCTACTGGAAAAAAGGATTTGATGAGGCTAAAGAGTCAAGGGAGATCAACTTGGAGGTTACTGTTATATCAAATCCTGGCAGGAGATTTAAAAAGTCCTGAACTAGAATGTAGTTATTTAAGATTTGAGAAGGCGGTAAACATTTAAGAAATACTTTAAGAGATAAAGTCATCAGGACTTGGTGCCCATATCATGTAAATAGGGAGCTGGAAAGAAATTCAACCAAAGTTATACCATCTATTTAATCTCAAAGGTTACTTGTAGATGTTACTGAGGACACTTTAAAGAATTTAAAGTACTGCGACAGTCCCTATATTAGGAAATTAAAGGGAACAAACATACACATAAAATAAACCAACAATGCAAATTTAAGTTATGCCCCAATTAAGAAATTACATAAAGTTAAGAAAAATGGAAGAATGACAATGCTATCAGATAAAAAGACTTCCGAGTGAAAGTGGGATTTATATTTTATACTATGAGAAAACTGATGTAGCTTTAAATGTTTACTAGCATTTAACCTATATTTTTAAATTTAAAATTCCATTGCTATTATCTAAAATAAAAAAACCTAGATTTATGGTCTTTTTTTGAAAATCAGAAGGATCTAACAACACTAGACTCACATTCCTACACATATCAACTAGACAACTAGACAAAGTGATTACCTTACAATAGGCAAACACTTTCTAGTTTTCTACTTCCCACAGTTTTCCCTAACACCGTGAGTGAATATTAGTTGCCATTTATTACCACACGTACAGTGTTGTTTTTTGACAGTAGGGACACAGTTCCATGTACCTTGATCTCTAGCAACGAGGGAAAATAAGAAAGATCAAGATTATTGTGTCTAAAGAAAACTGGGAATATATATACTTGACCCGCTTCACTTGCTTACATTGTCTGTCTGATTCTTCCAAGCATTAATTAGAATTTGCAACTCCTAGCTGGGCACAGTGGCTCATGCCTGTAATTCCAGCACTTTGGGAGGCCGAGGCTGGTAGATTACTTGAGGTCAGGAGTTCAAGACAAGCCTGGCCAACATGGCAAAACCGCATCTCTACTAAAGGTACAATAACCAGCCTAGCATGGTGTTGTGCGCCGGTGGTCCCAGCTACTCAGGAGACTAAGGCAGAGAATCGTTTGAATCCAGGAGGCAGGGGTTGCAGTGAGCAGAGATCGTGCCATTGCACTCCAGCCTGGGCAACAGAGCAAGACTCTGTCTCAAAAAAAAAAAAAAAGAAAAAATAACAAAAAAGAATTTGAAACTCCTGATATAGGTAGAGAGGAGACTTCAAACTAATACAAACAGCAGGGTACAGTCTCACTAATGGAATCTATTTTGTAGCTACAAGAAACAATAAAAATGAACTCAGAATATATCTTACATATTCCACTTACAGAAGGGTGAAGCATTAAACAAGGTGACTGCAAATGGAGTAGTCAGTTGAATGTTTTTATATTCTAATGGTTAGAAAACAGAAAAAGCAAACACTTGAGGCAAGCCTCAAGTTCCATCCCTAAATGCTGAAAGATAAGAAAAAATGTTGTACTGAAAAGATATTAGGAGATGAATAGTCTATTAAAATGTGAGTAAGAGAGAATTGGGATTAATGGTTCAGATCTTCAAAAGAAAACTTACATATACATAAAATCAGTCTGAAGATTATGAAAAAAAAAGACCTTGCTGAATCTTATTAAAATTGTGAAGAACCGTTATTTTGGGGGGATAAAAGATGTGGCTATAAAACAAGAAATACTATGAATAACCAAGAAATACTATGAATAATTTTAAAATGTGCCAAATTGTGACATTCATAATGTTATAAATGTAGTGTTTATTCAAAGTCTTCAGTGTGGTGATAAAAAGAGTTATATTTAGTTATCAGCTACCTTTTATTTAAAAACAAGACTTTATCACTAGATCCTTAAGAAAATATTTAGAAATCAGTTCCCTAAGCCAAATTTAAAAGTTAAGTCAGTCCAAAACCTTAAAAAACAATTTTTTTGGCCAAAGTTTTCCAATTAGTAAATTTACAATATAGATTTTTTTTTTCATTTTAATAATTAACACAAACTCACATTTTTCCTTCATGTGGATCTTCTTCCCGGCCCTAAAGGGAAGACATTAAGACAGTATTTTATATAATTAACTATTAATCAATTTTTATTAAAATTCATGAAAATCGTATCTGCAAACATATCCCCACACTATCCTTATTTATGTTTATATAAAAAAAGATGTTTCTGTTCAGTAAATATCTTTCCAAACCTCTCTTAATCTTTTCTTGTTGCCATTACCCTAACTCAGGCCCTCTTATCGACTTTTCTTAAACAACAGCCCAACTAATATAATTATGTCCTACTCCACCACTCTAATCTGGATACATCAGTTTCAACAGCAGCTGTGCCCTACATTAAGAAAAACCAAACAAAAAAAAAACACCTCTCTACTGCCTACAAATTTCTCATTCTGCAACTGAAGTCGTTTACCACAGGACTCAAGTCTACATTTCCTGTCTCATACTACCAATTGTTTTTTGGTTCCTATACCATGGTCACACATAACTTCCTATTTGCCAATCTCCCACCACTGTAGCTTGTACTTTTTGTTCTTAGAATGTACTTTCCACTTTTTGCTTTCTACTTGTTAGATAAATACCTAACCAATCTGGGAAGGAACTATCTCAAATGCTACCTCTTCAGTAAGACATTCTGAGCCCGTAAAAAGTGAACATCAACTTCTACTTTCAATATAAAAGACATCCCCCTTTTACTATGTTTTGAACTTTATTTTATTCTATATTCCTCTGATTTAAGATACAATAGTGTTACTCATTCCACTATTATGGAGAAAAATGGTCTAACTACATGTGGATTTACTTCTCACAATTTGGTCCTCACTCATTAAATACCTAATCAAACTAAAATCAAACACTCACTGAATGTTACTATATCCAAGGGAGTAGGCTTAAAAAAAAAAACTATAAAAATGAATAGCATTATCATTGTGTCACTGCCCAAAAGGAGTTAATCTCTTGTAGAAGAGTTTTACACAATTATTAATTTTAGACAGTGTAACAGAATGCAGAATTAGCAAGGTGCTATGGAAATACAGAAGGAAACAATTTTGCCTAAGAGACTCCAGAAAGGCATAAATCCTCTGTGAAACAGGGATGACATATGAACTGAGCTCATAAAGATGAATCAAATTTTACAAGGCAATCTATCAGGGCAAGAATGTCAAGGAAGAGGGAAAACTATAAACATAGAAACATTCATTTACTCAACAAACATTTTCTGAATGCCTACTAATGCCAGACACTATTCTAGGCAATGGTAATACATCAGTGAATCAGAGACAAAAATCCCTCCCCTCAGAGAGCATACATTCTAGAGTTAATACATGAAAGTATAAATGTGTTTGGGGAACTGTAATTAGAATTTTAGAAGGAGAAATTCCTTAAATCTAACCACTAACTGAATGCCCGAAACATCTTCACAGACTAGACAATGTCCAAATGGTTTTTCAATCTACAAAGAATTCACTACCCTCTAATAAAGCCCATCATGAAAGTTATTCTACATATTGGAGTGAAAATTGTTTATAAATGACGTGGAATTACTCCACTATTAATTTATAATGTTACTATATTCATTTTTAGCAACCACATCACATTATTCACTCATACTGAGTTGCTAACTTTTTCCTTGATCCCTTGTACTGATGTGAGGTCATGTCTCCTTATTCTGGTTTGGGTTGTTATTATTATTTTTCTGTATACATTGAGTAATTTTCACTTTTCTTTAAAGGTTATCTTGTTAAATTTGATCCAGAATTCCAAGAGCTCAAGAAAAGTTCAACTATAGTGCAATTTCTTGAAGTAATCAGGATGGAGAAGATGGTGGTACAGCAAGGAGAGGGAAACCCAAACTAAAAGTTGTAACTAACAAATTTTATAGGAAAACTATCATAGTAAGATGCTTCAGTACGAATACTGTTTGCCTATATGGAGTAAATATCTCTTTTACTGTAGAATACAGAATACTAATCTAGGAATTAGGAGTCCTAATCCTAGCTCTTTCACTAAATAACTATATGACTATGAGTATGGACTGTATCACACCATTTCCTCAACTTTTCCCACCTCTACTCAGTATGTTTTACTTCTATGGATCAAGATTTGGTTGCCAGAATAGGCAGGTAAGAGAATTAATAGGAAAAAACAATATTCTCCACTGCAGTCTTCCAGGAGCAATACTCTTCAGAATATTATCAGGTCTGTGGCATAATTTAAAAACAGTAGCTTTGAAGGCTGTAAAAGACAACAGAAAGCCACTCCATCTCACTAGAAAAATCCGAAAGGAAAGGGAGAATTCCAAAGTTATAATGTACAATATATTTGATACTGAGTATTGTCTCTGAAATATAAAAGCCATTCAAATGCTGACCTGTTATTAAAAATGCACCTGGTAATTGATACCATGATAACGTATTATATGATGGAAACAAAAACAAGGACGAGATTCAAAATGTAGAACCATGTGATAATATATGTATAATATAAATGAATTCTTCCAAGTTTACTGGAAAATTATATATATATTTGAAAGATAAAGAATCTAAAACCAAACATGTGTAACCAGTTGAGGTTTCATGATCAGACTGATATAACTTCACTTATGAGGAAGAAAAGGACGGCAAAAAAAAGAACAAAAATAAGCACAAATAGGCCGGGCACTGTGGCTCATGCCTGTCATCCCAGTACTTTGGGAGGCTAAGGCGGGTGGAACACTTGAGGTCAGGCGTTTGAGACCAGCCTGGCCAACATGGTAAAACCCCATTTCTACTTAAAAAAAAAAAAAATTTTATATATATATATATATATATATATATATATAAAATTAGCTGGGCATGGTGGCACATGTCTGTAATCCCAGCTAGCTGGGTGGCTGAGGCACGAGAAATGCTTGAACCTGGGAGGTGGAGGTTGCAGTGAGCCGAGATCACGCCACTGCACTCTAGCCTGGGTAACAGACCAAGACTCTGTCTCAAAAGAAAACACAAATGTTAATATATTTTTAATTCATAGAAAATCATACAAGCTTTCTGAATATTGGCAGCTATGTATTATAATATGCTAGCCTGATTATGTTCCATACTAACAAACAGCACTTATAATTCTTGTACTTATCAATTAAGTTCTTTTATAAAAGAAATGTATTCATAGCTACTTTCTCTGATTACGGACAAGATCCAAATTTATAAAATATTTAGAATCTAGAATTGAGAAGAAAAGAACAAAACTTACCACCTCTTCTACTAGGTCTTCAACAATAAGGCCTTGTTCATCTGTTCTTAAATTTGTAACCCACATCCATCCATCTTCTAATTCATTATGAACAATGAACATATCTCCTTTTAAGAAACTGAAAATAGCAATTTTAAAGTTATTAAATTTAAAAATTTTAAATACAGAGATTAGAATAGTCATATACCACAAAATAGGATAGGGATAGTATTATATTGAAAAATGTAAGGAATTAGAGTCAAACACCCTAAATTTGTATCCTATTTCTGGCATTATCCACATGTCAATTCCTGAAAATAATAAATAATCTGAATTTTAATTACCTCATGAGTAAAATGGGTTTGATAGTAGTATCTGCACTAACTATATCACTGAATTATTGTTAGATTCAAATTACAACTTCTGTTAACAGAAACTGATTGTACATATATTGAAGGTTTTGGGGTGTAACTACAAGAAAACTGAATTGAAAAACTTATGCTTCAATGTTATTACTCTTTCAGATGTAGGGTAGATATAAAATCAAAACACAAAATAAATATAATTAACACACTATACATACATAAGATATAGAGTTACTTCAGAAAATGTTTATTTTAGATAAGCATGATGTAGATGCTTATGTCAGTTAACATTTTTCTTATAAAAAAACCAGGGCTTGTTTAATTCACCCAGATACCCATTATCCAATGGGTACAGCATTCTTTCTCTGAAAGTGGTAGGTACCAAGGGATATATTATGAGAAAGGAATGTATGTTTTTTTTCTGTTACCAATTTAAGAGTACAGAGATGCATATACAACTTAGTTTCCTTTTACTGAAACCTAGATGTTTTCAACCTCCACACAATTATGGAAACAACAAGTTGCTGATGTATTTCATCAATATAAAACCATTAGTAATTCTTGAATTTGTCCTTTCAGGCTTAAAAGAATGCATCTGAATACAAAGTTTCCAGATTTGTTGGATGGTACCATTAACCCTGTATCTATAACTGTATTTGTCTTTTTTTCCAGCAATTTTCCTTTCAATCTTAATATTCACAAATCAAAATCTATTAAGTAAATTTAAGTAAATCTCTTCTCCTATCCTTGAAAGCTTTAACTGCTTTCTCTATGCTATCTCAAGCTTCATTGTATCTTGGACAATGTTTCAGACAACAGAACTTGTATTATACAACATTTAACTCAATATTTGAATAATCATAGAATATTGTATTCTATCTTGATTCTACAATCCTTCTTAATGATGGCCAATATTTCACTAGCTGAATGGCAGCAGACATTACCACTTAACCAATTAAACTATTCCTTTCTAGAACCACCTAAATAAGCACATTAAAGAAAATCATTATGAGTAAAAGGAGGGTGCACATGAACTGGTAAATTTCATTTCTTAGTTAAAAGTAGCCATAAGAGATATTTCTAATTTCAAGTTTCATTGTTGTTGCTATACCAACTTTTCATGGTGCAAAAACCAAAAAAAGTTTTAAATAAGCTTGTTAGTAGTAATACAATCTAATCATAACTCATTCTATATTATTTTGTGTTATCCCCCCTAAAACAGGCTAAAGTGCTTTATTAAATCATTAATTTTTAAGGTATTTTTATTTTAAAATCCACAGGTGTGTATAAACTTTTTAAAAGACTCATAAATCCAAATTTATATCATCAAAGTATTATTTAAATTCCCATCTTCCTAGATCAGCTATTTTTTTTTTCTTTTTGGTCTCCCAGGACCTCTTTACACTCTTAAAAATGACATCCTAAATGGCTTTTATTTATATGGATATCTACTGATATTTACCATATTCAAATTTAAAACAAATGTTTGAAAATATTCACTAATTCCTTTAAAAATAGCTCATTAAAAATATGAAAAAGATACTTTTACAAATTTAGTGAGAATATCACTGTTTTATAATTTTGCAAATCTCTTAATGCCTGGCTTAAATGAAAACTGCTGGAGTCCCATATCTGTTTCTGCATTAAATTTGCTGCTATATGATTTTTTTGCTTAAAACATATGAGGAAAATCTGGCTTCACCTAAGAATGTAGTTGTGAAAAGGATAAGTATTTTAATAGCCTTTTCTGATAATTATAGATATTCTATGAAATTACACCAAAAACTCAACGAGTGGTACTTTCTTGAAGGTTAGTTGTAATATGGAATCCAAAACTATTTATCAGTGAACTTTATGCATTCCAATAACATCTATTGGTCTATCTTGCACTTTAAATGAATCTTTTACCCATGCATAATTTTGTAACAACATGCGTTGACCTTTTAGAAAATATTAGTTCACTGAGCTATCTATATCTTCTAGTTGTTAACACATTATACACTATCAAAACCTCTCATTCTTGGCCAGCCACGATGGCTCATGCCTGCAATCCCAGCACTTTGGGAGGCCAAGGCGGGCAGATCACCCGAGGTCAGTAGTTCAAGACTACCCTGGCCAACATGGTGAAACCCCATCTCTACTAAAAATATCAAAATTAGCCAGGTGTGGTGGCAGACGCCCATAGTTCCAGCTACTCAGGAGGCTGAGGCAGGAGAATCGCTTGAACCCAGGTGGCGGAGGTTGCAGTGACCCAAGATGGCACCATTGCACTCCAGCCTGGGTGACAAGAGCGAAACTGTCACAAAAAAAAAAAAAAAAAAAAAAAAACCTCATTCTTTATTATCTTCACCTATCTCATCAGAAAAGTCATTATTTCAGAAGCTGTCAAACTCTTGATGGCCAATACAGAATGTCTAAAATTCAAATTTTTACTCAAAACTCAAATTTTGTCATTGGCAACAAACACTAAGTTTTCTTCCTTGAAATAATAGACTCACTCTGTTCTTCTTCAAAAAATGTCAAACATTCTCTCAAGTGAAAATGGTGTGCACAAAAGTAACAGCTAAGCCAGGTGCAGTGGCTCATGCCCATAATTCCAGCACTTTGGGAGGCCAAGGCGGGCAGATCACTTGAGGTCAAGAGTTCAAGACTGGCCTGGCCAACATGGCAAAACCCCATCTCTACTAAATTACAAAACTTAGCTGGACTTGGTGACACACGCCTGTAATTCCAGCTGCTCAGAAGACCGAGGCAAAGAATCCCTTGAACCCAGGAGGTGGAGATTGCAGTGAGGCAAGATCGTGCCACTGCACTCCAGCCTGGGTAACAGAGCAAGATTCTGTCTCAAAAAAAAAAAAGGAACAAACTAGTTCAGCTCTCAACTCACTGCTTTTCCTCATGACACTGATCCCTGGTACACAGCAGAAGTGTTTTATACATACTTCCCATTTCATCATACAGATTAAAGTTGTGTAGTCACAGGTTGAAATTCAATAAATATTTTTTACTCCCTCATCAACAACACTCTTCAATGAAACTGTCTTTAACTCTAAGTGTGTAACAGTGAAGAATACAGTACACTTTTGTGCCACAGCCTTGATTTCTATTAAGGCACCAGCAGTTTTACCATCCATTGCTTTTGTACCATCATTGTAAAATTTACAGTGAAAAAGGCAAGTTATGTCTTAGTATGTTATGAAAATAATCTGATCTCATGGACTGTGATGGCTAATTTTATGTGTCAACTTGGCTGGGCCATAGGGTTCCCAGATTAAACATTATATTTCTGGGTTTCTCTGTGAGGGTGTTTCTGGATAAGATTAGCATTTGAATCAGAGGACAGTATCCTGCCATCCCCAATGTGAGTGGGCATCATCCAATTCACTGAGGGTCTGAACAGAACAAAAAATGGAGGAGGAAGAAATTCATCCCTTTCTGCTGCCTTACTGGTTGAGCTGGGACATCTCATCTCATCTTCTCCTGCCCTCAGACTATGATTTACACCATAGGCTCCCCTGGTTCTCAGGTCTTCAGATGTAGACTGAATTATACCACTGGCTTTCTTGGGTTTTCAGATTGCAGACAGCCGATTGTGGGTCTTTACTGTCTCCATCTATCATTGTGTAAACCTATTCTCCGTAAAAAAATCTCCTCTAGAGAACACTGACTAATACATGAACCTTCTAAATGGATCTCAAAGATCCCCATAGTTACATGAAACACACTTACAGAACTGCTGTCCTAAATGATCCCACTAAAAATTTTTTAAAATTACCTAAATTCATAAATTTGTAATTCATCCCTGTTCTTCAATATATGCATTTTTTCCTTTGTCATTTATAGGCCTGTCCAGTTTACATTACAAATAAAAATGTGTCAGTAAGAATTAAATGAGAGAATTAATGGTAAGAAACAAAGTTTCCACTAGAAAATTAAATAGCTTATAGAAAGACACAGATAATCTGATTATCAAATTATATAATTATATAGAAATAAAACCACAAACTAACATGTTGCATAGTTCTATAACATTCCTAAGGTTTAAAATTATTCACCCATTACATAAAGTAGAAGCTTATCCTTTATAGCTGTGGCATAAATGTCACATGGTAACAAAAATTTACATAGCATATAGATTGAAGCAGAACTCTCCTTACTTTGTGAGAGACAGTGGAATAAAACCTAACTATTTCTCCTATCATATTCACTGAGGCCACCCTGATCCAAAACCACAGTCTGAACAAATAAGCCAACCCAGAGATACAGGACCAACAGACCCAATATCAAAAGCTCTTTCACCTTGCTGTATGCCATTTCTTCAAATTTCAAAAGCTTCCTAGTCCAAGAGTAATAAATCTTCGAAGTCTAGCTCTTTCAAATGCCTATACATGAGAATAGATTATAAAATACCTTATTTCATCAGTGTCTGGTACTTTTGTGTAAGGTAGAATAGCTCGTACACGCCTTCTATCTTCTACTGGCTAGAAACCATAAAAAAAAAAAGATTTAAAAAGATAGTCTTTTTATCTTAAAGTCAAAAGAGGTATATCCACATAAAGCCAATAAAAATTCACATTAGAAACTCCATGGGATCATTCAAATAAATTTTTACTTGGACTATAAATACCCAGTGCCTAGAAAGGCTTTTTTGTTGTTCCTGTTTTTATGAAAATCATATTTTAAATATAAGCAGTATGCTTTTATAACGTAATATGAATGATCATTTCATTTTAAATATACTACATGAAACATATACATTAACCTTTCATTGATGATACACAAGGCATTTCAGAATCTTGCAGCAAAGTCAGGGTTAATACTATGAAATCAGTAATTTGTTCCCATACATTCAGAAATATTTGTTAGGCTATCACCATACAGTATTTTCTTTTAATCTGGTTACTTAAATACAAAATTATTGAAAAATATTTTCTTTTTTTTTCAAAGAAGTTGTCCATTTTGTTCTGACATTATAACCCGAATTAAAATTTAATACAACAAATACTTCTTGAATTATAATAAACATAAGAAACTGAGCAATAGCTAAAACCATTATTGTACTGAAAAAATAAAGTTTTGAAAGATATTTTATTCATTTTACTTGCCTCTGGTGGTGCAACTGGGTAAAGTAATTTTTCTCCTTTAAGCAAACAAGAAACATGACTGTAATAACCTATTAGGTCTGACAGTGAAGAAAAACGTCTTCCACCAATGTAGTAATCTCCACACATAGCAATAATCCTATTTGAACAGGAAAAAATACAGTATAAAAAAATCTTTACAGCCAATTTTAAAAATCAAGTTTTATAAAGAAATTATAAATCCATAATTTCCATACTCTTTTCCTTGTAACTATATCCTTATACTAAAATACCACTTATTAGTATCTTCATCACAGTAAATTACTTGGGGCTATTTCTCTTACATATATATACATGCATTTGATGTGAAATACATATCAGGCTTATAAACCTCAATTACAGAATTCCATCAAATATCTGAAAACTCACCCTCAGATACCTCTTCTCACTTTCCATATTTAAGGCTGAATTAACAATTTAATAAGTTTTATATGGCTAAAAGGAGCTCACAGATCTCTTGCAATATTTACACAAAGTACAGTAATAATTTCACATACTACATGTGGTATCATGGTACTACTGAACCTTATTTTAAAATCTAAAAACCAAGGGTACACAAACATTTTATCATTTAACACTATATGCATTAGATGATTTTTTTCAATTTCTTCTATAAAAATGAAACAATACAATATGGGTAAATATGTTTATATATACAGAATATTTGTACTTGAAAATTTATATGTCTGTTTCACTGAAGTGCATGTCTGCGAAGAGTTTTAGAATAGTGAAGCTAAAATAAAGGACACAAAATTTGAGTTTTAAACAGGGTTTCCTACACTTTTTGTTATTCTGCAGTCTAAAAGTATACAATTCCTTTATTTTAGCCTTACCACTCAAAGTTTATTTGTAATTCTTTATACTTTAAAAACTATAAATATATTTGAGGATCAGCACAGTAATGCCCAACAATATTGTTTTTAAACAAAAAATGTAAACATTCAAAAGAATCTCTCTAAATCACTGATTAAATCATTTGACTGAAAACAAGCTTCCTTCTCTATTATTTGTTACTGAGTCATTCACCTTTATTATACAGGTATATTTATGAATATTATATCAAAATAGCTACATCATTTGGCTTCATAATAGGAATAAAGACTTACCTAAAATGGTTGACAACATTCATCTGGCTAAGAAATGAAAGTACAAAGGACCCTGGCCTCCGATCACTCTCTCTTATAAGATAACTGCCAGACTTCCCTGCCTGCCTGAGGCGTTCTTCTGCTATCGTTCTGTCAAGTTTTCCGTGATACCACCTAGGGGAAAAACAGAGAAGATATTACAATATAAATAGCAAGTGCAGAATTTCTATGGACACTTGAAAAACATACTACTAGAGGTTTTAAATGCCTACATGTAACTTAAACATTTACATTTTACTCTGAACCAGTTATTCCAATTTTAACTCAATTTAACCTCAGTCTCAAAAAATACTCATTTACTTGGTCTTTAATTTGTTCTAAAAGCTCAGTCCTAGTCATCTCATATATAAATCTCTTCCATTTCTACCCATCTCCCTACTTCCAGGATTGCCTGCTATTCAAAATATAAACACTACTGCAACCAGATCTTTACTTAGAAAAATAAAAGATAGACAAATGGAAATGATTAATTTACTACCTCGATCTTATACTGAGGAACCATGACTTCACAAGGCACATGGAACCTATGAGAATATAAAATGTTTTATTCCATTTTAGTGTTTGTGCCCTGCGACAGGAAAACAGAATTACACTGTCTAAAGGATGCTATTTTAATTTCCTGTTTGAACGTGAAGCTGATTAATCCCTTTGGCTCTAAGATAATCTACTCCATGACTATACATTTTACATTTGCACTCAACTTTCCAAATTTATGTAACAAACATGTGGGAGAATAAATAGCACCTTTGTCCCTTCACCCTTCTTGCTCTCAGTTTAACTGTGTTCTACCTACATACTATCAAATGATCTACTTAAGAAACTGGCTGTAACTCTAGCATACCAAGTATGCCTATAAAAGCCTCATGGACTGATATAAACAGAAACATGCTTAGAAATATACTAGAAGTATCATACAGGCATGGTAACAAATCTCCAAAGTAATTGCTATAAAATATTTTTACATTTGATAGTTTAGCCAAACTCATCCTTAGATACTTACAGCCTAATTTGAAACATCCAGAGAAAAACAATAAACATTCATATTACATTGATATATTCAATTATGTAACATAATATAGTACTTCAGCTTTACCAAAGTTTATTTGTAATCTTATATGTGTAATAATGTATGTATTTTATATAATATATAAGCCAATGATAAAAGCATTATGTTACTATGACTATTTTTGTAAGCTTGTTGTAATAAAAGCCCATTATTTTTGACTCCTTAATTTTTAAAAATAAAACAAAAACACAGAAACTTAAAACTTATGGAAAGAATTACTTTTAGTTTTCTTCTAAAACCAAGCTATTTATTTAGAGCCCTATGCATAAGGCTGAAAATAATGAACTTATTTATAGCGTTCCATTACGACTTAACAAACAAAATATAATTGTAACCTGTTAGTACTAGAGGAAGAAGGGAAAGAACAATCAATACTGCATTCCTCTAAAATCCTAATCTTAGTTCAGCCATTATCTTTGAGACAAATGACAAGTAAATTTAACTTTCAAGAGCTCAGGGACTTTTTAAATCTGAAATGGAAAGTTTACACCAGAGATCGTAAATGAACCCTAAGGAACTATAATTTAACGACATAAGAGAATAAAATTTTGAAATTTCAGGCTATGAGTTTATTTAGTTGTGAAAATATATGGGATATCCTTAGGTTATCCTTAGAATATGAAACTAGTGCATTCCTCATTACTTAAAGCAGTAGAACTATCCCAGAGAGCAGATTTATATACCCAACAAAGATAAAATTAAGGACAATTTTTAAAAATCTCTATTTTTATATACTTGTTATTTGTTAAATTTCTGTTATGTCTTAGGTAGTGTCAAGATGAAAAAGGTTTTTCTTTAATCTCCTTCATCTTTTGAACTTACCATTGAAATGATACACAGAGATACATGAGGCATTACACAATTACTACTTTATAAGAAATATCCAACTTATGATTTTAAGTAATATATATGTTTATTTGTGGTTTTTAGTTGTTTTTGTTTTGTTTTGTTTTAAGACGGGAGTCTCACTCTGTCGCCCAGGCTGGAGTACACTGGTACGATCTCAGCTCACTGCAACCCCCACCTCCCAGGCTCAACCCATCTTCCCACCACAGCCTCCCAAGTAGCCGAGACTGCAGACACATGCTACCACATCCAGCTTTTTTTTTTTTTTGGAGAGACAGAGTTTTGCCATGTCACCCAGGCTGGTCTCAAATTCCTGGACTCAAGTGATCTGCTCACCTCAGCCTTCCCAAGTGCTAGGATTACAGGTGTGAGCCACCACACCGAGTCGATTTTTTACATCTATGTACTTTCTAAGATCTGAGCATTAAAATGGATAAGTCAGTTCAGGAGAAAGACATTAATCTAAATAAGTAACTATTTCCTAAATGTTAGCAATTTCCTTCATGTCAAAAGGTCGTAAGCTTCAAACACATAAAGCAAAACATGTCAATTCTTGATTATGACTATAAACTGCAATTAAATTATCCAGCCATCAGCTTGTAAATATTTACTTAGTTGATTTGATCCTTAAATGTTTTATAAATAAATCACAATAAATCCAATGTTACAAGATTTGATTCAGACACCTTACAGATTTCTAGAACCTAAGTAAAATACTATATAACCTTTAAACACCAGTCCTTGGGTTTACTCAAAAACAGTATTTCTCAACCATTTTTTAACCCACAATCTTTTATATAAATATAAAAATTTTACCCTACTGAGAGATTCAGAGTCCCTAAGGTGGCTGTCCTGCATAGAGAATCATATATTCTAATTAGCCCCAGTAGCCAAGAAAATGCTGTCTACCTTAACTTTCTGAAGTCTGTAATTCTTTTTATTTCAGGTGGGATATGGCTTTACAAAACATACTCTCAATAACAAAGATATAACATTTCCCAAGAGTGAACACTTTGGGAGTGGTTATTTGTCTAAAATACTCAATTTTTAAAAATGCTACACTTTCTGCCTCTACAAATAGTCACAGCAATAAAATTACAAAGAAATACAAGAAAACATATTTAATCAACCCCACTATTACTCTTAAGTCTTCACAGTCAAAGCCTTATTATATCTCTTTAAAAGTAGATTTGCTGGTGACCGTTTTCAAATAAGTTTAAAAAAAAATTCAACTGGAATCTAGAATACCTCAAAGAAACATAAGCATAAGAATCATACTGGTGGTATGAGAATACTCTGAGTGTAACATGAGATTACTAAACAATAGCTCATCATCTAAGTTAAAGTTTATCAATCTGCTCACATTTGTGGCAATTATAACACAGAATATACCTGGCACATAGCAATAATAAGTTTTAAAAGTATTTGTCCAATGAAAGAAGAAGTGTTGACTCATAAAACAATGTTGAAAAATACTTTATAAGTCATCTAGTTAAACCACCATGCCAATGTAAAAAACAAAACAAAAACTTTTCTTTTTTAACGTCCACATAGGAAGTTCTCTCTCTTTTTTTTTTTTTTGGGAAACGGAGTCTTGCTCTGTTACCCAGGTTGGGGTGCAGTGCCATGCTCTTATGGCTCACTGCAACCTCCGCCTCCTGGGTTCAAGTGATTCTCCTGTCTCTGCCTCCCAAGTAGCTGGGATTACAGGTGTGTGCCACCACATCCGGCTAACTTTTGTATTTTTAGTAGAGACGGGGTTTCACCATGTTGGCCAGGCTGGTCCCGAGCTACTGACCTCAGGTAATCTGCCTGCCTCGGCCTCCCAAAGTGCTGAGATTACAGGTGTGAGCCACTGCACCCAGCCAAAAATTCTGACATGTGAAAAGAATGTGAAAACAGTTTAGGCTGACAGAACTCAAAGAAGTATGATTATGCTGACACTCCCTGAGCTTGTTCAAAAGAGACAATGCATACTAGCAGAAGACCAAGACTTAACAGAAACCCAAGAAACCTCCAATCTATGGCAATGCCACCCTAAACATACCAAATCTCGTCAGAAACTGTCTCCACAGTTACGGCCAAGTCTTTACATTTTTTATGTCGTTACCATCACTTGTAAATTAGGGAAATTAATTTCTATCTCAACCTCAGAATAAAATTAATGACTTGTACTAAATTCCTTTAAAGAAAAATACAAAAATGAAAAATACTACATAGGCTTTATAGTAGAACGGTTAAAAGACTCTAGAGTCACTGTCTTTGAATCCCAGCTCTGCCACCTAGCTGCGCAAATGTAGGCAGATTACTTTATCTCTGAGCCTCAGTTTCCTCATCTATAAAAGGAATATAATAGTGTCTACCTCAGAGAATGTTGGCTTAATATTATTATTAAATGAGCTAACACATATAAAGTTGCTTAGAAGAATACCTAATGGATACCAAGAACCCAGTAAATATTAGCTTAATTAATATCAAACCAGTATCACAGGGGAGTAGAGGATACTCAAAGGATATGGGACTGATTAATAAACTTCTTCAAAAAAACTAACAAATTTTATGACTGTTGCAAAATGGGTGATCAATCTGTGAATCATCTTAGTCTCAATTACCTATTTTCCAGTCTTGTTTACTTTCCATCTAATTTGGGGAAGAGAACAGGAGAAACCAATCTTTTTTTCTACTAAGGCATTAATTTTAGGAGGAAATTTTCTCAAAACTCTTTTTGAACATTATAGAGCATTCAAATTAATTGGGGCTGCAAGTGCCATACTATTAATAAACTAGAAATTCTATTTCACCTGGCAACTCTAGAAGGAAACCCCCAAAGAGCCCCCATTCTTTTCCCAATGTGTGTATATTTTGGGTGTTGGGGGCAATATAAAGGATAGTATGTACTTGAGATACTATGACTTAAAACTGCTTAATGTAACACATTAATAATAAAGCATTTAATGTTCTCCTATTTTAAAAGTAAATCTCCCTCTCTCTTCTTCTTTGCCTCTCTAAGGAAGATGGGGAAAAGGAATAGCAGGAGGAAATTCAAGAAGTACATACATGTCTTCCCAGCTAGCTTTGTAAATTTTTGTTGAGAAATCTTACAGGTAGATATGGAGTCCCTTAATTTCATTTTTTTAGAAATACAAATCAATTTACATACAATATCATACATCTAAGATGAAACTGCATGTTAAAAAAGTGAACAATTAAAAAAAGTCACAGAAATCACTCTATTTTAAATTTGGAATCACATGAACATTTTTTATAAATGTGTGCTGTGGCCAGGCGCAGTAGCTCCCAACTTTATAAACCAGCAATTTGGGAGGCTGAGGAGGGGACTGCTGGAACCCAGGAGTTCATGACCAACCCAGGCAATATGGCAAAACGCCATCTCTACAAAAAATACAAAAATTAGCCAGGCATGGTGGCACATACCTATGATCCCAGCTACTCGAGAGGCTGAGATGGGAGGATAGCTTAAGCCCGGGAAGTCAAGCCTGAAGTGAGACAAGATTGTGCCACTGCACTCTAGACTGGGCAACAGAGAGAGACCCTGTCACAGGGGAAATAAAAAAGGGGGTGGGGGGCTGCTGCATATTGCTGGAACACATCCGAAGGGCCTTAGAGGGGCCTTTGTGTTTTATAATCTGTCTCACTTGATCAGAGAAAAATATGGAAATTTGTGCAATGAGAAAATATCCTAGTGTGAATACAGACAGGCATTTCATTGAAACTATACAATTATTTACAACTAACTTGACAATCCCAAATGAAAACTGTCTACTACACAACAGAAAACCATTAAAACAGTGCTAACATCAATAGAGTTCCTTTTATAAAAAGAAAACTAAATTGAAGTTACCAGCAGATTACTTTTACTTTCCACTTGGTTTTTCCTTTTGGTTATATTACTGACAGGCACCAAAGTAGCTACAGAGAAACATACATGCAGAAATCCAATTGCCAAGAAATCTTTTGCATCTGAATCACTTGGGACTCTGTGTGCCTGATCATACTACAAACTTCTGAAGTTATTCTACAAGCCTCAAAATGCTAATCAGACTTTGTTACACACGCTTGTGTCTTCTAAAACTAAATTGGTGATTTCAAGTTGGTATGCATTTGCTAAAACATAAAAATCTTCTTAAGCTCCCATATTTATTTGTAACAAATATATTCTTACTGTCTGTGATATGGTTTGGCTGTGTCTCCACCCAAATCTCATCTTGAATTGTAGTTTCCATAATCCCCACATGTTGTGGGTGGGACCCGACCCGGTGGGAAGTAACTGAATTATGGGGGCAGTTACCCCCATGCTGCTGTTATTGTGATAGTGAGTTCTCACGAGATCTAATGGTTTTATAAGGGGCTTTTCCCCCTTTTGCTCAGTACTTCTCCTTGATGACACCATGTGAAGAAGGACATGTTTGCTTCCCCTTCCGCCATGATTGTAAGTTTCCTGAGGCCTCCCCAGCCCTGCGGAACTATGAGTCAATTAAGCCTCTTTCCTTTATAAGTGACCCCATCTCGGGTTTGTCTTTGTTAGCATCATGAGAATGAACTAATACAGTCTGCTAAAGGTTAAAAAAAAATAAAAAAATTAAAAAAGCAACTGATTTCTTAAAGTGAAGAGGAAAGTAAAGAAAATTTATCTCATACTAAGTGACTTTACTTGGCCTTTTTTTTCAAATCACTATGATAGAGACTAAAATTGGGTCACTGGTAAATTCACTTGAACAACCACTAGGCTAAGCAAAACAGCTGTAGTACCCCTTAGACCAACTACACATCACTTAAACTTGAGGAAGGGGAGAAGAGGGCGTGTTTATATTAGGTATTCTTGGGTATATTTGTATATAACCAGATAACTAGAGTGCATATGTATGTGTGTGTGCACATGCGTGCATGTGTGTATGTATTTATCTCAGATCAAGTTAGTTCAAAGTAAGGGCAGAAATGCTGTTTCCTTTTTCAACAGGTAACATATTTACAGAATCCAAGAGGTTTTAGTTTCGAGAGAGCATTTCTAAAGAAACAGCACTATCATACACTCTGTCCACCCAAAATTCACTAAAAGACTAACATACAAAAGGTTGAGAATACAAAGTTTACACTGAAATGCACTCAACCATGATTGTGAAGTTTTTACTACCTTTAACTCCCATCACCCTAGTAAACAGATAACGAAGGGAAGAAAAAAAACCACACCTCTCCAAGAAATGTTATGCACTGATCAAATGTTGAAAGAGAGGAGGAAAAGGGAGGGAAGGCTAGCACAATACCTACTAGCAGGAGGCTAGTATTAGTACCTACAGCACATTTTCAATCTCTTGTATCTGTGTTCTTTAAATCCTCAAAACAGTATCAATTCTTATAGTTGGGTTTTTCTTAGAACTTCAACAATTATAGTATCATACCATTCAGCACATGAAGATAAGAAATCACTACGTCTGAAGGTTAAAAGTAAACTTTAGTCTAACATTGTCTCTTATTTAGTTCATCTCCAACAAACTATGTGCCAAGCATTGTGCTACATGGTAGAATATAACAGTAAATACGACAGAACACCATGACAGGAAAGTTTAGGTTCTAGTGGAGAAGACAGACAAATTAAGCAACTGTAATCTGGTATAGTAAGTAGGAGGATACACAGGGATACAAAAAAATACCTGTCTCAGTCTTAGAATTTTAGCATACATTTCCTGAAAGAACTGATGGCTAAACTGAGACCTAAAAGATGAATGGCAACTGACTTGGAAAAAGTGAGGGACTGAGAAGGAAAGTGAGAAAAATATAACAGGCAGTGGGAAAAAGCACAGGCAAAAAAAAAAAGAATTGACTTATCAAAAGATATATAGCCATAACAATACCCTAAACATTCTTTACAATATACTTTACAAATCTAATTCCCACCAAATAAAATGGAAAGAATATAAGCTTATATGCAGACATGTTACCTTACTTGCTGAATACAGACATACTACCTTACTTATGGAATTTCTTTCAGTTCCTCAAACTGAAATATGCCTCAAAGAACATTTTAAAAGTTCAAAATATTCTCAGATCTGTCCTTTCATCTGGTATCAGCAATAACCCTATGAGCACAGGGCAGGGGAACAGGCATTATCCACTCTCTCCCTCAAAAGTTCTCCACAATATGCCCATTTTTCTACTATACATAGGCTTATATCCCAAACAAGTTACAATTATTCATTCAACAAAGATTTTTTTAAGCTCCTATTATGCGTTAGGCAATGTTTTAAGGCATTAGTTTTCTCCCTCTATGCTTTCTCAAAGTGTTTCTCCTATTTAACTTTTTTAAAAAAATAAGGGTGAAATATTACACAATTTACTCAAAAGTCATCCTAAAACTAAGGCATTTTCTACGTGCCTTTTCCTCAGAATTTTCCATTTCTGTATTTATTCACAGTCATGGAAATATCAGTTATCCATCAGCTCAAATTATAACCTCTATGAGAGCAATCCCCAAATTTCCCTCTCTAAATCTAACTTCCTTCCTAAACGCCAGGCTTAAATTAACAAAGCTCTCCCAAGAATCTTCACCTTAAGGTGAATATATCAACATCTTAAAAAATTAGCAAATATCTCCACAAACACACAGACACTCTCACACTTCTCTTCCTCTTTATTAATAACACCAGCATCCTTCCTAGTGTCCAGACCTGGAATTTCAAAAGCAACTTTGATTCCTTCTTGTGGTGTTATTTTATTTATGTATGTGGTTGTGTTTATATATCTATATTTTTAAAAATAGGTTTTCGTCCACAGTTCCTGGCTTATAACTCCCATAGCCCTTTGTGTTAGTCTGTCTTGAGACTGGGTAATTGGTAAAGAAAAGTGGTTTATTGCGGCTCATGGTTCTGCAGGACTATAGAGGAAGCATGGTGCTGGAATCTGCTTTCAGTGAGGCCTCAGGAAGCTTTTACTCATGGCAGAAGGCAAAGGGAGAGCTAGCACATCACATGACCAGAGAGAGCAAGAGAAGGGGGGAGGAGCCAGGCTCCTTTAAACCAGTAGTCCCCAACCTCCGGCACCAGGGACTGACTGATTTAGTGGAAGACAATTTTTCCACAGACAAGGGGTCAGGGAAGATGATTTCAGGATGAAACTGTTTCAGCTCAGATCATCAACCATTAGATTCTCATAAGGAGCACACAACCTATATCCCTCACGTGAGGAGTTCACAATAGGGTTTGCGCTCCTGTGAAAATCTAATGCTGCTGCTGATCTAAGCTCTGCTGATCAGAAGGTGGAGCTCAGACAGTAATGCTCGCTTGCCTGTGGCTCACACCTCCTGCTGTGTGGCCCAGCTCCTAACAGGCCATAGACAGGTACCGGTCCATGGAGTAGGGGTTGAGGACCCCTGCTTTAAACAACCAGCTCTCACTTGAACTCATTACCACAGGGGAGGGCAGCAAACCATTCATGAGGGATCCACCTTTATGATCCAAACACCCACCAGACCCCACTTCCAACAATGGAGGTCTCATTAAATACGAGATTTGGAGGGGACACACATTCAAGCTATATCACCCTTGTTATAGTCTTTTATTACAATGTTTGGTGTGTTAGGCCTCAGGAAACAATATCCCTGACCTTCTCCTGCCCTCCTTTCATCTGCACCAAGGCAGGACTCTAATTTTCCTCCACTTTTCTGACTGTGGGTCATAATGCCCTCATTTCAGAGAGGGTCCTATGGGGGGTCTTCCCATTGGGGAAAGTGCTGATGTCATGAAAATTCCATAAAAAACCAAAAGGACTGGCCTCACAGCTGAACATGTGAAGGTGGGCAAGAAGGTGAGCAAGAACTCATCCACTTGCTGGGAGAGTGGCATACCCTAACTCCACGGAAACAGAGGCTCCTACATTTGGGACCCTTCCAGACCTTGCCCTATGGCATCCAGACCTTGCCATATGGCTGTTTACTTGTATCCTTTAACATATCCTTCATAATAAACCAGTAAACGTGTTTCTCTGAGTTCTGTGAGTAACTCTAGCAAATTAATCCAACCCAAAGAGGGGGTTGTGGAAACCCCAACTCGAAGCCATCTGGTAGAAGTTCCAGAGATGCAGACTTACAACCAGTGGGAAGGAGGGCCCAGACCCCAAGACTGAGCCCTCAGCCGTTGGGAATCTGACACTATCTCTAGGTAGTGACAGAAATGAATTGAAAGCCAATTAGCTGGTGTTCACTGTAGAACTGATTGCTTATTTGGCAGGGAGAAATACTGTGCATTTGGACACAGAAGTCCTCTGTGTTGATTGTTGTGGTGTAAGAGCAGAGGAAAAACAATTTGGGAGTTTTTCCTAAACACTTCTTATCTTCCTAGACATAAAACTACTGCCAACTTGTATACTGCACCTCCAGTATCATTGAAATTATTCTCGTTTTCCATTCCTTCATTCATTACTACCCTCTCCATATCATACTGTTCCAACCCTTCCTACAACTAGGGAAAGATTTATCTCCCTAATAGGCTCTTTCTTCCTAAACCACAGGCTTAATCATTTCACTCTAATAGCTCAGAAGTGTACAAATTGCTATTCAATAACAAATAAAGCACAAACTATTCACCATGGCATTCAAAAGCCACCATGAAAGGCTCCAGCCTCCCTTCTAGCCAAATCAGACTATGTGTAACTCTACAAATACTACCTTGTTTTCACCTTGTCTTTTCACAATGCAGTCATCATTCAATTTTTGCTTGTCAAAACACTATGTTGAGTTACAGGGAAAAGTATACTTGCATAAAGCCATTTTTAATCCCCTTTAACTGAATACATTACCTCCCTCTGATATGGTTGCTCTGTATCCCTACCCAAATCTCATGTTGAACTGTTACTCCCAGTGTTGGGGGAGGGACCTGGTGGTAGGTGATTGAATCATGAAGGCAAATTTCCCCTTGCTGTTCTCGTGATAGTAAATTCCCGCAAGATCTGATGGTTTAAAAGTGTGTGGCGCTTCCCCACTTTACTCTCTCTGTCTCCTGTCACCATGTGAAGATGTTCTTGCTTCCCCTTTGCCTTCTGCCATGATTGTAAGTCTTCTGAGGCCTCTCCAGCCATGACTCCTGTACAGCCTACAGAACTGTGAGTCAATTAAACCTTTTCTTCATAAATTACCCAGTCTCAGGTAGTTCTTTGTAGCAGTATGAGAACAAGGTAATACAGAAAACTGGTACCAGAGAAGTGTGGCACTGCTATAAAGATACCTCAAAATGCAGAAGCAACTTTGGAACTGGGTAATAGGCAGAGGCTGGAACAGTTTGGAGAGATCAGAAGAAGACAGAAGATGTGGGAAAGTTTCAGACTTCCTAGAGACTTGCTCAATAATTGTAACCAAAATGCTGACAGTGATATGGACAGTGAAAATCCAGGCTGATGTGGTCTCAGATGGAGATGAGGAACTTATTGGGAACCAGAGTAACGGTCACTCTTGCTATGATTTAGCAGAGACTGGCAGCATTGTGCCCCTGCCCTAGAGATGTATGGAACTTTGAACTTGAGAGATGATTTAGGGTACCTGGCAGAAGAAATTTCTAAGCAGCAAAGCATTCAAGATGTGACCTGGTATTTTTCTAAAAGTATATGCTCATATGTATGAAGAGACGGTGTGAAATTGGAACTTATGTTTAAAAGGGAAGCAGAACATAAAAGTTTGGAAATTTTGCAGCCTCACCATGCTATAGAAAAGACAAACCCATTTTGGGGGGAGAAATTCAAGCCAGTGGTAGAAATTTACATAAATAACAAGAAGCCAAATGCTAATAGCCAAGACAATGGGGAAAATGTCTCCCAGGGCATGTCAGAGATCTTCATGGCTGCCCCTCCAGTACAGGCCTGGAGGTCTAAGAGGGAAAAATGGTTTCATGGGCCAGTCCCAGAGCCCTGCTGCTAACTGCATCCTTGGGACTTGGTGCCCCGCATCCCAGCCACTCCAGCTCCAGCTGTGGCTGTGGCTAAAAGGGGCCAATGTACAACTCGGGCCATGGCTTCAGAGGGTGCAAGCCACAAGCCTTGGTGGATTCCACATGGTGTTGGGTCTGTGGGTGCACAAAAGGCAAGAGAAGAGGTTTGGGAGCCTCCACCTTGATTTCAGAGGATGTATGGAAATGCCTGGATGTCCAGGCAGGACTCCGCTACAGGGCCAGAGTCCTCATGGAGACCCTCTACTAGGGCAGTGCAGAGGGGGAAATGTGGGACTGGAACCCTCACAGAGAGTCTCCACTAGGGCACTGCCTAATGGAGCTGTGGGAAGAGGGCCATCATCCTCCAGACCCCACAAGGGTAGATCCACTGACAGCTTGCACTGTGTGCCTGCAAAAGTTGCAGGCACTCAATGCCAGCCCATTAAAGCAGCTGTGGGGGCTGTATCCTGCAGAGCCATGGGGCAGAGCTGCCAAAGGCCTTAGGAGGCCACCCCTTGCATCAGCGTGCCCTGGATGTGAGACATGGAATCAAAGGATATGGGAGCTTGAAGATTTCATGACTTCCCTGTTGGGTTTCAGACTTGCATGGGGCCTGTAGCCCATTTGTTTTGGCTATTTCTCCCATTTGCAACAGGAACATTTACCCATTCCCTGTACTCTCATTGTACCTTGGAAGAAACTAACTTGTTTTTTATTTTACAGGCTCATAGGTGGAATGGACTTGCCTTGTCTCAGATAAGACTTTGGACTTTTCAGTTAATGCTGGAAGGAGTTAAGACTTTGGGGGACTGTTGGGAAGGCATGATTGTGTCTTGACATGTGAGAATAATATGAGATTTGGGAGAGGCTGGGGAGAATGATATGGTTTGGCTCTGTACCCCCATCCAAATCTCATGTTGAATTGTAATTCCCAGTGTTGGGAGGGGACCTGGTAGGAGGTGATTGGATCATGGGAGCAAATTTCCCCTTGCTGCTCTCGTGATAGTGAGTTCTCACAAGATCTGATGGTTTAAAAGTGTGTGGCACATTCCCCTTCACATGCTGTTTCTCCTGTCACTATGTGAAGATGTGCTTGCTTCCCCTTTGCCTTCTACCATGACTGTAAGATTCCTGAGGCCTCCCCCGCCATGCTTCCTGTACAGCCTGCAGAACTGAGTCAATTAAACATTGCTTCTTTATAAACTACCCAGTCTCAGGTAGTTATTTATAGCAGTGTGAAGACAAACTAATACACCCTCCTTTAAAATCCTCTGCATTTAGATATCAATCTTCCTCTATCTCATTGTACTTTTTTACATGTTCCCCTATACTGGCCATAAACTCCTCCTCTAACAGGCCAAATTTTGCTGATTTTTATATACCCTATAGCATTCTTAGTACAGTGCTTTGCATACAGTAGGGAATCCACAAATATTTGTGGGGGTTATAATAGAAGCTCAGGTAGAACTGTTCTCTGGATTTCTATATGATATATGAAAGCACGCTTCAAAATGCCAAGAACATTTTAGCCCAGCAATGAATCTCAACCTAATGGTAGTACCATTACTCTAAATATCCTTTAGAAAACTGTTTCATTACAACTATCTATTATAAAGGGGGGATATTTGAAAAGGCAAAGCTCTAAAAAAAATGGGAAAAAATGAGCTTAAGAGTGTGAGAAAAACGGCTGGGCGCGGTGGCTCAAGCCTGTAATTATAGAAATTTGGGATGCTGAGGTGGGCGGATTGCTTGAGCTCATGAGTTCAAGACCAGCCTGGGCAACATGGCAAAACCCTGTCTCTACAAAATGTACAAAAATTAGCTGAGTGTGGTGGTATGCGCCTGTAATCACAGCTACTCAGGAGGCTGAGGCATGAGAATTAATTGAACCCAGGTGGCCGAGGCTGCAGTGAGCTGAGATCGTGCCACTGCACTTCAGCCTGGGCAACAGAGCAAGATTCTGTCTCAAAAGAAAAAAAAAAAAAAGAGCATGAGAAAAACAGTCTTATTAGGGAAAAAGGTCATCTTTTCCTTAAAAACAGAAGAGACAAAAGATAGGTGGAAACACAATGTCTACAATCATAGAATGGCAAAAGAACAAATACACAGTTGCCTCACAGTAAAAAGTAGAGAAAATTATTTTAAGATGAAATATCTAGGATGGAAAAAGCTTTCAGATATCTAGTCTAATTCCTTAAGGTCACAAATAAGCAAAGTGATGAGTGAACTTGAAAATATGTAATTTTGATTCTCCCTATAAAGTAGTAATCGAGGCCATCTAATGAGGAAGAAGATAGGCCTTAAGCAGTGTGGTAAAATGGCAAAGCAGAGCAGCTAAGGGGAATTTATTAAAAGTCTGGAACGCACAAACAAAAGGACTGCAATAAGAGCACCATGTAATAAAAGTACAGATGAAGTTACCACAAATTTGTGGTATCCGCCAGGCGCAGTGGCTCACACCTGTAATCCCAGCACTTTGGGAGGTTAAGGCGGGCAGATCACATGAGGCCGGGAACTTAAGAACAGCCTGGCCAACAAGGTAAAACCCCAACTCTACTAAAAATACAAAAATTAGCTGGGTGTAGTGGCACACGCCTGTAATCCCAGCTACTCGGGAGTCTGAGGCATGAGAACTGCTTGAATCCAGGAGGTAGAGGTTGCAGTAAGCCGAGATTTCGCCACTGCACTCTGGCCTGGGCAACAGAGCAAGACTCTTTCTCCAAAAAAAAAAAAAATGTGGTATCCAAGTAGCAGAGTCAGGTGACTTTTCCCATAAACTCAGATTCTTGGCACTTTAGAGCCGCTTTAATTTCCAAAGCTCTTTTTCTCACATGCAAGAAGAAATCAGTGAGTCCACAAGTTACCAGAAAACAGCTTTGTATCTATAATTGTGAGAGGCTTTGACAGTTTATGTGCAGGAAGTTCCCCCAAAACAGGGATGCTGAGGCACAGGGTATTAAAAACAGATACAGGAAGGACCATGCAACTTCCTTACTCCCACTCTCCATGTTCTCAATCCTCAAGTCTCTGTGGGACAGGTCTAGAAATTTCAGAGAAGAAAGATATTTAGATAGTGGCAATCCTGACACATGAAATAAAATGCCATGAAATTTGAGGGAGAGAGGTAGAAAATTTAAGGATGAGAAAAATGAAGAAGAACCTTTGGTTGTGAAGTATTTTTGTGATTGTCCATTTAACTGTTTATCTACTGATAACCTGGGAATCGGAATAAGCTATCCATTACTGTCTTTTGAAAAGCTAATTATTTTTTCCGCAGCTATTTTTCCCATTTTTTAAAATGCATTCTGAAACCAACTGGCCCTCAATAAGATAACTATAGTAACCAGGCAAAGAAGGAATTATCTTCCAGGTACCATAGCAAGAACATCTTAGAGGGCACATCTATTACAGGCAACAGAAGCCAAGGCACAAGCTAACCATTCGTCATATTTGCTTTAAATTTATACTTGTAATTTGCTTTTTCAAACAAACAGATCTGGTCTCAGAGCATTCTAGCACAAAAAAGTTAAACATTAATAGTTCTGAAAATTATCCAAAAATGTGAGTTTAAAATGTATTATTTGGTATACAGATTTTAACATAGTGTCCATAATTTTTTTAATTTTAAGGAAATTACTAATAAATTGAATTACAAATTACTGAAGAAACCACAGAAAAATTTTTATTGCAATTCCAAATGACTTTCAATAATTAGAAAAAAGAATCAGCCTATATATCCATTTTTTGAAATTAAACTTTTTAAACCTGCAGTGTACTTTAAATCAACATTGTTTTTGAAGTAAAACAAATAACCATAATTCCTAGGAAGTATTTAATCTGCTTGATTACTAATATACAAAAATAATGGAAGCAGACTATTATTCGCAAGGTGCTACTTATTTAATAGCACATAAAATAATCTTGACAGCAGTTGTTCAACCCTCTCCCATATTAAACATTCTAATATGAGATTATTAAATAGTATTCTATATTTACTCTAGGTTGAGAGGGTCTCTGAAAAACCCAAAAGATAGCACACTTCTTTAAAAACACAAGATTTTTTTAAAAGGAAGCTGCTATGATTTGAATGTGCCCCCAAATTTCCTTTGTTAGAAACTTAATCCCCAAATTCATACATTGACAGTATTTGGTGGTAGGGCCTTTGTGAGGCCTACCTTTGTGAGGATTAGATAGGGTCATCAGGGTGGGGCAGGCCCCCATGATGGGATTGGTGGTTTTTATAAGAGAAGGAGAGACCTGAGCTGGCATTCTCCTGCCCTCTTACCATGTGACTACCTGCACTTTGTTATTATGTAGCTAGAAGGCCCTTGCTAGATGCCAACCCCCCTGCCCAGTCTTGGACTTCCCAGCATCCAAAATTGTAAGAAATAGTTTTTTAAAATAAATTACCAGTTTCAGATATTCTGCTGCAGTAATAGAAAATGGACTAAGACTGAAGTTTTTGCCTGTTAGCCATTAATAGAAGCTGTGTTGTAATTCTGTACTTCTTTATGAACATAGTGAATATGACAATCAGAATAATATATCCATTTTAATATAAAACTCTTTATACTTTACATAATTTGGAAACCACATTCTGCCTAGCTCCCAAATATAATGCCCTCAAAAAGGTGTAATATTCAAAAATGTTTTATTTAGGATCTCTGAAACAAACTTAAAGATGGGGGTGTCACTTATCTAATAATCTAGGTCACATATCTGTCATACTCATCCAGTATCACAATAAAGAACATTTAACAATGTAAATAATTCCTAACTCTCCCATCAACCTTAAAGACAGAATTGCATTTCCACCAGCAACTGGATCTTTCAATCTGGATATCTCAACTAACAACTAAAACTCAACACTTTTTTTTTTTAAATGACCATCATCATTCGTCCCACAGCCTTTCTCTTTACCTCTCCTCTCTCTCCTGTTTCTCATCTTTACTTGCCATTAACATCAATCCAGATACCCAAGCTATGAGCTGAACCATCTATTGCTGGTTTTTTTAAGACCAAAAAATTAAATACAATTCAACCTGATGGAAACTTCTCATCAGTATCTCTGACCTATTTCTCTACCTGTTTCCCTCATATCCAATCAGTCAAAAAGCCTTAACAATTCCACCTTCCTATGCTCTCTTCTTCCATCCTGTCATTTCCTTTCCCACCCATTATGTTCTCTATTCCTACAACAGATTTTTCAGTTTTACTGGTCTTCCATCTCTTTATACATCTATAATATTATCTCCAGAAACAACTATGCCCAAAACACAAATCAAAACTGAAAAAGTCCCATTGCTTACAGAATTAAATCTAAACAACTGGTACAGCATTCAGTAATCTTTATGGCTTGGCCAGTCTCCACTGGACTACCTGTCATTTCTTAAACAAACCAAACATGCACTTTCTTTATTTTTTTATTTTTTATTTTTTATCTTTTTGAGACAGAGTTTTGCTCTTGTTGCCCAGGCTGGAGTGCAATGGCATGATCTTGACTCACCGCAACCTCCACGTCCCGGGTTCAAGCGATTCTCCTGCCTGCCTCAGCCTCCCGAATAGCTGGGATTACAGGCATGTGCCACCACGCCTGGCTCATTTTTTGTATTTTTAGTAGAGACAGGGTTTCTCCATGTTGGTCAGGGTAGTCTCAAACTCCTGACCTCAGGTGATCCGCCCACCTCAGCCTCCCAAAGTGCTGGGATTGCAGGCATGAGCCACCACGCCCGGCCCAAACATGCATTTTCAGACCTCTTTGATCACACTACTCCTTTAATTTGCAATGTCCTTATTGCCATCCCTTTGTCTACAGAAATCTCTCTCATTCTTCAGTGTCTACCTTAAATGTCATCTCGTTGATCCCTTGGTCATAATTAATCGTCTACCATGATGTCAGCTGATTTCTTAGACTTTTTTTGGCATTTTATCTTATCTGTAATATAATCAATCATTTTCATATCTGTTTTCTCCATTAAAGTAAAAAGTTACTTGTGGATACTGGGGGACATTTAAGTCATCTTCACAATTCTCTAGTCTAGCACATGGCACAATGCCTTGAACACAGTAGACACTGGCAGGTGGGAGATGAGGAAAACAAATCTGTCAAAAAGTCCTGCCTATGTGGAAATTCAAAAGTCATAATCGCTTACTGAAATCCACGTATCTAGCCAAACTGGAGAATGACTTTCACTCTCCCATTCAAGCTATTTCTCACCTCTCCTTCCTCTTTTTCTTGGTAAAGCCCGGCTTCCAAACTATTTGCATTGTCCTCCTACCCTGTGGTAGTTATCTATCACTCTTCCCTTCAAGGAATACCTATACCTCCAGGGAGAGCCAAAATTCAGCCACCTCAAAGATATTAGATTAGCTAAAGACCACCTGTGCCCAAAGTGATATTTTAAACCTAAACTCACCCAGTATAAAATGCCATTTGATCACATCAAAAACTGAGATAGAAATGTGAGTTTCCTCACTTAAACACCCTAACCTCCCCTACTCTGAACTCCCATAATATCTGCAGTCCATACAACTTGTTGACACTCAAAGATGATTTGTAAGACGCCTGTTCAGCCCCCATCCAATTCAGGGAAAACACTCACAGTCTCTCTGTGGGAACTCTTTCTCCCTCAATTCCAACAGGGAAAGTATCATTTTCCTTCAATAATCTGGCCTACTCATAGTTGATCATTCCCTGATAAACACCTGAACCAAGTATTCAAGTATTTTTTTCACACTCATACTAACAAATCTGTTTTTTTCTCTGATAGCGAAAGATTTAGGATGCAAGATCAAAGAAAGAGTTCTTGTTTATTTGTTTGCTAGATTTTCCAGTACTCTGAGGAGCCTGTGTATAAGAAGAAAGAATGAAGCTGAGAGGACCAAACAGATGAAGAGATGGAAATGAAGATTCATGGTAGCATTCACATCCCCAGTTCCAGATATCCCTGAGATTCCAGTTGCAAACTATCTTTCCCTTAGTTTAGTTGTTCATCTCATCCTTCGATAACCTCTAGCCCAGAAAGAGGAGACCCAGCGAAAAGGTCTCTAGGCCCGTTCAGATGTTTAAAAAATTGCTGGCCCCTAAAGAACTTCTGTTTCTGTAGGTTATAGCTGTCAATATTTACTGTATTAGAAATTAGAACTCAGAAAATCTTAAATGTTTAGAAATTAATTTAAAAATTACACATAATGGAGTAACTGTTAATACAGATAACATATTCTTCACGTAAAATATATTCTCCAAAAAAAATTTATGAGAAGAGCAGCACCAATTTACATTTTTGTACAAATGTTTACTATCTAACTTAACAGAAGACAGATTTCCTTATCTGTTTCTGCATTCAATATGTTGCTCTATATTGCTTTGATTCATAGTATATGAAGACTATTACTTACTAAAGTTACATATAAGTTAAATGAAATGTAGAATCTGACCACATGTATAATAACATTTGTATTCTATTCCATTAAAATCCACTGGTCTATCATTTACTGATGCATATCATAGGTTGCATCATGCAGTGATCATCTGAAAAATACTGCTTCACTGAGCTATGCAGATCTTCCAGATATTAACACATTTCATTTACATTATCAAAACATTACATTCCTTATATATCACCAGTATGCAGTAAAGGATTAATAACCCAGTAGGGCTAGGTTGTCCACACCTTGGATATTCCAAAGGAAGGTTTGGCCCTTGCCCACCCAAGGCCCTTGAAATATCCTGCTTAATAAGAGTGCCTTTGTTTACTGAAAGCCTTCAGCCACACCATACAGATTATGCTAACAATGTAATTTACGGGAGGGGCCTTGGTCCATGCAGTATCAGTCTGACCTCTGGAGTCAAACAGATGGAGTTACTAAAGTCAGCGACGTGGGCACTTTAGACCTTCATGAAAGATACCCAAAAGATCCCTGGACACCAAGACTCAGGTGAGTTCTCCTGGTTGGCAATACTTGACACGTGTTGTCACATACTGCTGCTGTGAGCGGCAGTTAAGCACTGTCTCTATGACTCCCCTGGGAGAGGGCAACTGGAAGCTTGCATCTAATCTCTGCTGGACTCTGCCCTATGCACCTTTTTCAATTGCTGATTTTAAACTGTAGCCTTTTGCTATAATAAACTATTATTACTGTGAGTATAACAGTTTTGCCATGTTCTGTTAGTCCTTCTAGAAAATCACTGAACCTGAGGTTGGTCTCAGAGACTTCTGACAACCATCAATCTCATCAGAAAAGTCATTAAGTATTTGGGAAACCCTCAAAGTCACAGTTGTAGATACAAAGCCTCCAAAATTCTAATTTTTGCTTGAAAATTTAAATATCGCCTGAAAGCACCAGATACTGCCAGTTTTTTTCCTTGAAGTGACAGGCTCACTTTGTTCTTTTTCAAGAAAATGTCTGCCATATACTGAAATCTAAATAACCATAGTTTGTCAGCTATTTTTCAAAGTAAAACTAATGTGTCATAAAAGAAGTGGCTAGTTCAGATATCGACTCAATAATCGCATAACTATTTTTTCTCAAGACATTGCACGTCAGAATATAGTATTATGTGTTCTTTCCATTTCAACCCACAAAATACTAAAAGGACATATACTCAAGGACTGCAACTTAATAAAATTAATAATTTTTACTGTTCTATCAAAGACATTCTTAACTGGAACTGGCTTTATTTTTTTCTGCAGCTATGTGGCAGCAAAGAATACAACAATTACTAGTATAGTTTGATGCATAAATTACTTGATAATGAATCATTTGGTACATTAATGCAATTACTACATTAATTTATACTAAGGCATCAGAAGTTTTTGCTTTGTACCATAGTGCAAATGTCAAGAAACTGAAAATGGCAAATAATACATTAGTATTATGAAAATTATTTGACTTTACAGACTTCTTGAAAGGGCCTCAGGGAACCCCATGGTTTGGAACTCTAGTGAAAGCAGACTAGAAGAGACTATCAATACCAGGAAAGCCATTCCAACCACTTTCTTGAACAATCTTAACTAAGTCTGTCAGCGCTTACATGAAAAACAAGACCATCACGAATATTGTAACAAAATTTTAATTCCTTCCTACTTCTTTATGCAAAGCCTACTCAGACTCCATTAGTTGTAAATTTTTGGTGGCCATTGTTTTCAAGTAAGATAACTCGATTGCAAAAAATAACTCAGGAAATAAGTTATTTCTAAATAATTTCTTAATTCAACTCTCATATTCTATTGACATATTTCAGATTTAACTTACTAGCTTTGCATCTTTCCTTTGCTTGCAAATATTTTGATGATAAATTCTAGTCTCTTTTGATTAGTAATTTTTCTTTAGATGAATCACACATCTATGGAATTCTTTTTTAAAATTCCTTATTTTCTTCTTGATAGTTTGCTATGATCCTCATCTTTAACACAATTTCAGAAATTTAGGAATGTCTTACATATAACTTAAAGTTATTCACAAAGAAATCAACCTCAAAGCAGTCAATTGATTTTCAAAAGCAACAAACTGCTTGACATTACTTGCCCCAACCAACAACAGAAGTCTTTCCTGTAGTCAAAACATTATATTACCTCTCTTTCTTCTTTTTCCTGGTAAAGCCCTGCCTCCAAGTCACCCAACAAGTAGAAGAGCTTTCAACTAGCACATAAACATAAATCCTAAAAAAGGATCTTATCACATATAAAAATTTAATGTATAATAGAAAGCATATCACAAAAAATATTCAACAAATACTGATACAACATTCAGTAAGATGCTTGGAAAGTTATCAACTTAGAATCCCAAACCATGCCAAATTAAATGTTAAACAAGTTAAAGTATTTTTTTAATACTATAAAAACTATAGGTTTATATATAAAATACTGATATATGATAATCTTTGCTTAAAAGCCAAAACAAAAACCAAAAATCAAAGAAATATACAAAGACTGAGATTTGACAGTACAAAATATATGAAAGCAGGCAAAATACAAGATGTGCATGTGCTCACATAACACAAGAAAGGATCATCACTGTGGCTGTTTACAGTATCATAAGACTAGATAAAACTTAATCACTAAAGAGTAAATAAATTATGTACATCCAATAGAAAACTATGTGGTTACTTAAAAGAGCAAGGCAGTTTAAACATTCAGAAGTACACAAACACACTGTGTGTATTACCATATACTTATCTTCAAGTCTTTGCACAAAAATGTCACTCAATGAGTCCTATACTGACTACCCTATTTAAAATGGCAACTTCTCCTCTCCAGTGCCCTACTATCCTGTCTGATTGCTCTTTTCTTTTTGCCATAGCACTTACTACCTTCTAGAATTCTATACTATTTATGTATGTATCATATTTATTGTATGTCTCCTCTCTGCAAAATATAACCTACAGAGCAACAGTCATCTTAATCTGTTTATTCATGTATCCTAACCACCTAAAATAGTGCCTGGGATAAGACAGGTTCTAAAAATGTCATCCCTTAAATAAACCAATATATACAGAATTGGTATTGACCCTAGAAAGTCTAACTGGGAAACTGAGAGCCAGTGGCAGAAAGGGATCTTTTTAATTAAAGAGTACCTTTTTTAATATGTTGTATTTTTCCCCTCTGTGAAAATATACATTGCCTATTAGAAAACTTAATCTTATGCATTGCTTAACGACAGGGATACATTCTAAGAAATTTATCTTCAGGCAATTTCATCATTGTGCAGACATCATAAAGTATACATACACAAATCTAACTGCCATGGCCTACTACACATGGTATAGCATATTGTTTCTAGGCTACCAACCTGTACAGCATATTGCTATACTGAATACTATAGGCAATTTTCACACAGTGGTATTTGTGTATCTAAACATATCTAAATACAGAAAAGACACAATAAAAATATGGCATTATAATCCTATAGGACTGACCAAAATGTCATTATGCTAACATTACTGTATGTTACACATAGGTAAACGTATACTTATGTGTTATACAAATGCATGTACATTATACATATATATACACAACAGCAATGGTTACTACCAAGAACAGTGAGATTATGGAGGTATGAGGGAGTAAAGACTTTTTCCTATATTGTTCATTATTTTGTTTTTTAATAATAGTTATAATACTTGTCACATTACTTGCAGCAGAATAATCTCCAATCAAGAACTGCTAGAAAAGACAAATAAAACACAAAAAATAAAAAATAAAAAGATCAGTCTGTTTAAATCATCCAAGAGCTCAATATGGAGGCAATCAGAACTTAAGGAACCAACATTTCAAAACAAATAGAATCCTAAAGAAGGTGCCATTCAGCAGCCACTCTGCCACTTTTTCTCTCAAACTATTTATTTGCATATTGTGGTCACAAAGCAAGAGGCTGAGAATTCATGCAAAAGACCCAGGTCTTCTGTCTGGGTCTTTTGCATGAATTCTCAGGAGGAAAACAATCCAGCAGAACTTTCAACAGTCTCACAAAGCTGGTGAGACAAATATTAAGAGACTTGAAGGGCCAGGATTCTGGTCATAAAAAAGAAACAGAGAACTGAACCACAGGCTTAACTATTTCCCTCCAGCGATATCTACTGAATTGTGAAGCTACACAGATAAGAAGCTAAGGAAAGACTGCATAGCAAACTGCAGTATTCAAAAGTTTTGTGATTAAGGTGATCTAACTGCATTCTATCTGCCTAACACAGGAGTGGCTAAGCCGTCCATCCTCTACAGCAAATGATCATTCAGATAACCTATAAAATTGTCAAACACAATGTCTGGCATTTAATTAAAATGTAACGCACGCCGAGAGAGTATACAAGAAGACAAACAAGTAAATCAATGAAACAAAGATATAAAACTTCAGGAAAAAAACAAAAGTTGGTTCTTGGAGAGACTATTAAAGTCAACATTTTGTTAAGACTGATCAAAGAAGAAAAAGTCACAAATTATCAATGTCAGACCCAAAGGGGAATAAATTTTAAAATTACAGACAGAAGGCTATAACAGTTATTCAAGAAAATACAGGAAAACACAAAATAAAGATGGAATTTAATGATAAAATTTGAATATTTAAAAAGTAATCAAATTTGTAAAATTAAGAGCTAAATATAATATTAACAGCAGATTAGGCAGTTTTGTGTTGTTGTTGTTGTTGTTGTTGTTGTTGTTTTGAGACAGAGTTTCGCTCTGTTGCCCAGGCTGGAGTGCAGTGGCACGATCTCGGCTCACTGCAAGCTCCGCCTCCCGGGTTGACGCCATTCTCCTGCCTCAGATTAGGCATATTTTTAAGAAGCTAATAATTTGCAAAGTTTCATAGAAAATACACTTACTAGAGCATAAAAAGAAAACAAGGACAGAAAATACAGAAAAGTTATACCTGTCAAACCGTAATGCAGAAAAAAAGAAAATACAGAAAAGAATACAAAAGATGAATGGGACATCGTTTTTTAAAAAATGACTAACGGGCTGGGCAAAGTGGCTCACACCTGTTATCCCAACACTTCAGGAGGCTGACGAGGGAGGATCCTTGAAGCCAGGAGTTCAATACCAGCCTGGACAACAAAGCAAGACCCCCAACTCTACAAAAAAGGTTTTCTAAAACAAATACGCTGCACACAGTGGCGCACACCTATAGTCCCCAGCTACTCAGGAGGCTGAGGCAAGAGGACTGCTTGAGCCCAGGAGTTCAAGTATGCAGTAAGCTATGATCGTACCATTGCACTCCAGTCTGGGTGACAGAGTGAGACCCTGTCTCAAAAAAAGGGGAGGTGGCGGAGGGTACGCAGACATACATGTACAGTACGAGAAAGGAGGCAATAGAGAATAGAACAAAAGCAAAGTATGAAGAAAAAATGGTCAAGAATCTTCCAAACTCAATGAAAAATGTTAAGGCAAAGATTCAAGCATTCTATATACCCCAGCAAGATTTTTCTTTTTTTCTTAAAAAAAAGGCCACATCTAGGCATATCATAGTAAAAATGCTAAAAACCAAAGGCAAGACTGAATTTTTTTTTTCAACTTTTAAGTTCAGGGGTACATGTGCAGGATTGTTACATAAGTAAATGTGTGTCATGGGAGTCTATTGTACAGATCATTTCATCACCCAGGTATTAAGCCTGGTACCTATTAGTCATTTTTCCTGGTCCTCTCCCTCCTACCACCCTCCACCCTCAATTAGGCCCCAGTGTGTGTTGTTCCCCTCTATGTGTTCAGATCATTCAGCTCCCACTTATAAGTGAGAGCATGCAGTATTTGACTTTTCTCTTCCTGCATTAGTTTGCTGAGGATAATGGCTTCCACCTTCATCCATGTCCCCGCAAAGGACATAATCTTGTTCTTTTTAATGGCTGCATAGTATTCCATGGTATATATGTACCACATTTTCTTTATCCAGTCTATTATTGACAGGCATTTAGACTGATTCCATGTCTCTGCTACCGTGAAGAGTGCTGCAATGAACATACATGTGCATGTGTCTTTATAATAGAGTGATTTATATTCCTTTGGTTATATACCCACTAATGAGATTTATGGGTTGAATGGTATTTCTATCTTTAGATCTTTGAGGAATTTCCACACAGTCTTCCACAACAGTTGAACTAATTTACACTCCCACCAACTGCGTATAAGCATTCCTTTTTCTCCACAACCTCGCCAGCATCTGTGATTTTCTGACTTCTTAATAACACCCATGCTGACTGGTGTCATTGTGGCTTTGATTTACATCTCTCTAATGATCAGTGATGTTGAGCTTTATTTCATCTGATTCTTGCCCGCAAGTACGTCTTCTTTTGAAACATGTCTCTTCATGTCCTTTGCCCACATTTTAATGGATTCTTTTCCTCGTAAATGTGTTTTAAGTTCTTCTAGATGCTGGATATTAGACCTCTGTCAGATATGTAGTTTGCAAAAATTTTCTCCCATTCTGTGGGTTGTCTGTTTACTCTGTTGATAGTTACTTTTGCTGTGCAGAAGCTCTTTCATTTAACTGGATCCCATTTGCCAATTTTTGCTTTTGTTGCAATTGCTTTTGCCATCTTCCTCATGAAACTTTGCCCAGGCCTATGTCCTGAATGGTACTGCCTATGTTGTCTTCCAGGGTTTTTATAGTATGGGGTGTTATATTTTAGTTTTATTTCATCTTAATTTTTGCATATGGTGTAAGGAAAGGGTCTAGTTTCAATCAACCTGCATATGGCTAGCCAGTTATCCCAGCACCATTTAATAGTCCTTTCCCCATTGCTTGTTTTTGTCAAGTTTGTCAAAAATCAGATAGTTGTAGGTGTGAGGTCTTATTTCCAGGTTCTCTATTCCGTTCCATCGGTGTATGTCTCTGTTCTTGTACCAGTACCATGTTATTTTGGTTACAGGAGCTCTGTGGTATAGCTTGAAGTTGGGTAGCATGATGCCTCCAGTTTCGTTCTTTGGCAAAACTAAATCTTAAAAGTAGTCAAAACAGAAAGACATTATATTCAAAGAAACAGATAAAAAATTTTTGCTAACTTTGCAACAAAAATACTGGAAAGCAGAGAGAATGGAATATCTTCAAATTTCTGAAAGAAAGTAACTGTGAATCTAGAATCTAATGCACAGAAACAATATCCTTCAAAAACAAAAACAAGTACATTTTCAGATAAATACAAAGTATATTTGACAACTGACGTTTACCAAAAAAAAAAAAAAAAAAAAAAAGGACTAAAAGAAGTTACACAGGCCAAAAAAAAAAGTTAAAAAGTTCCTAACCTACAGGAAAGAATGGAAATGCAGCATAAAGTGAAGAGCATCATAAAGAGTAAATACATGTGTAAACAAACATTGACTGTACAAAGCAGTAATATCTAATGAATATTAAAATGTGTACAATAGGCCGGCACGATGGCTAATGCCTACAATCCCAGCACTTTGGGAGGCAGATGCGGGTGGATCACTTGAGGTCAGGAGTTCAAGACCAGCCTCCCCAACATGGTGAAACCTCATCTCTACTAAAAACACAAAAATTAGCTGGGTATGGGGGCACACACCTGTAATCCCAGCCACTTGGGAGGCTGAGGCAGGAGAACTGCATGAACCCAGGAGTCGGAGGTTGCAGTGAGCCGAGATTGTAGCACTGTACTCCGGCCTGGGCAACAGAGTGAGACTCCATGTCAAAAAAAAAAAAAAAGTGTATAATAAACATGCAGAGCAATAATGCAAAAAGCAGAAGGATAAGTGAAGTTCAGATGTTCTAAGTTCCTAGAATTGTTAGGGAAATAGTAAAAGTAAATATTTTCAGTAGACTGTAATAAGTCAATGATACATGTTGTAATCTTTAGGACAATCACTAAAAGACTAAGATGTCAGGCTATATGAAACAATAAAACCCACTTATAAGAGATGTATCTTAAATGTAAGAATACAGAAATGTTGAAAGTAGAAGAATACAAAATGCTTTACCACACTAGCACTAATCAAAAGAAAACTGATGTCAGACAAACTAGATTTTAAGACAAGAAGTATCAGCTGGGCGCAGTGGCTCATGCCTGTAATCCCAAAACTTTGGGAGGCTGAGGCAGGAGGATCACCAGAGGTCAGGAGTTTGACACCAGCTATGGTCAACATGGTGAAACTCTGTCTCTACTAAAAATACCAAAATTAGCCAGGTGTAGTGGTGGGCGCCTGTGGTCCCAGCTACTTGGGAGGCTGAGGCAGGAGAATCACTTGAACCCAGGAGGTGCAGTTTGCAGTGAGCCGAGATCGCGCCTCCAGCTTGGGCGACAAGAGCAAAACTCTGCCTCAAAAAAAAAAAAAAAAAAGACAAGAAGTATCAAAGATAACAGACATTTCGTAATAATACAGTAATCAATTCATTAGAAATTGGTGTATGCATATCTAGAATTATGAATTATATATATGAATTATATATATATACCTTTCAAGTGAACATAGAACATTAATCTGAAACCATATGCTGAATCAAAAAGCGAGCCTCATTTCAAATGACTGAATTCATTCAGAGTATGTTCTCTCAAGGGAACTAAATCAAAAAATTACTAACCCCTAGAAAAACTGTAAAAGTTGACATTTATGTGGAAATATGTCTTCACAATATGCTAGTGAAGAAATCAAATGCAGACAGGTCATATAACAATTTGTGACACGTAGCTGAAGTTATGCTTGAAGGGAAATCTGTAACCTTAAATGCTTATATTAAAAAAGAAGACTGAGAAGAATTATTTAAGTATCTACCTCAAGAAATTAGAAAAGACAAAAAGTTAAACCTGAAAAGACAGAAAAAAAAAATAGGACACAATTAATGAAATCAAAAGCAAAGGTACAACGTAAGACTTCAGGAAAAAAAATGAAAAATTAGTTCTTGGAAAGATTAACAAAATTGATAGACTGGAAGAAGACTGAACAAATGAAAAAGGTCACAAAGTATCAATTTCACTAGTGAAAAAGAGACAGGTCCTACTGAAGAACAATTAGTCGTGCTATTATACATTGAGAATTAATGTAAAGATAGACAAGTAGACTAATGGGACAGAAGTGAGATGTAACAAACTCACACATGTATGAAAAATATGAGCTCTTTACTTGACGGAAATGGGTCAACTAGATATGGACATTGTTTTTAAATGAATCTTGACCTCTTCCTTGCTCCATTCACAAAAATCAATTCCATATGTACGTCTAAAAGAAAAAGACAATAAAGCATCTAGAAAAAAACACAGGCAAATACGTTCATCTCCTTCGAGCATGCAAAGATTTCTTAAACATGACTCCAAAAACCTCAACCTGTTTATGATTCAATGTTATTATATAAAGCTGAAAAAGTCAGAAATAATCTGGGATGTGAGAAGTTAGAATTCTGTTTATTCGGGAAGAGGTGGTGTGCGTATTAGGCAGAAAGCAGGCCCAAAAAGATATCTAGGATGCTGATAATATTCTGGGGTTCTTTAAGTATGGATTACACAGGTACATCCACTTGTTAAAACTCATTGCGTTGAACACTTAGAATACTATGCTTTAGTATAGTATACTATACTATACAGTATAGTATACTATAGTATATAGAATACTATGCTTTATGTGTGTTACACTTCGACCACAAAGAGAGAAAAAACTGATAAAATTAACTTCTGTTAAAAAAACAACAGTGCGAAATTGAAGATTTCTATAAGATATATACTCATCAAAAGACTCATAGCCAAGACAGAGAATAACCAGAAATAAATACAAAAAAAGAAAAACCAATAGAAAACTGGACAGAAGACTTGAAGACTTGAACTATAACCTCTTCATGAAAGAGGTTATAGAAATGACCAATGAACATATGAAAAAATACACACTTCCATTAGTCATCACATCAAGAAAATAAAAATTAAAACCACAAGAGCTATTACACCACCAACCCACCTACATCACTACAATGAAAAGGGTAAACAATACTAAATGTTCACAAGAATGTAGAGCAACTGAAATTCTCACATGTTGCTACTCAGAATTTAAATGGGTACAAACACTTTGCAAAACTATTCAGCAATACCTACCAAGCTTATTATATGAACATCCTATGACCCAGCAATTCTAATCCTAGGTGTATAACATAAATGTCTATACATGTTCATTAAAAGTCATTATCAGAAAATTCATAGCAATGCTATCTGTAATAGTCAAACTAGACACACCCTAAATGTCATGTCCATCACTAGTAGAAAAGGATAATACACTGTTGGTATAGTCACAATGTAACACAAGCAATGGAGATGAGTGAAATAGTGTCACATGCAACAACATGAATAAATCTCATAAACATAACAAAGTAACACACAAAAGAATAGATAGTAAAGGTTGAGTATCCCTAATCTGAAAATTGAAATCCAAAATGCTCCAAAATCTGAAACTTTGAGGACCACCATGACACACAAAGGAAATGCTCATTGGAATATCTGGATTTCAGATTAAGGATGCTCAACTGGTATAATGCAAATAAAGCCCCCCAAAAATACGAAATCTGAAACACTTCTGGTCCTAAGCATTAAGGGAAACTCAACCTGTATGTGATTCAATTTTATTATATAAAACTCAAAAAGTCAGAAATAATCTAGGATACAAGAAGTTAGAATTTTGTTTTTCAGGAAGAGGTGGTGTGTGTATTAGGCAGAAAGTAGGCACAAAAAGACATCTAAGATGCTGATAATATTCTGGGGTTCTTTAAGTATGGATTACACAGGTACACCCACTTGTTAAAATTCATTGTGCTGAACACTGAAGATACTATGCTTTATATGTGTTATACTTCAAGAAAAAGTATACCCAAGGGAAAAAAAGTAATTCTAAATACAGAAAAACTCTATACTAAAACTTTCATTTCAACACTAAAGGGAGCATGCTTTAAAATTAGTATGTGCATATATATTATATGTAATTATACATATACATAAATAAAACATTAGACAGTCAAAATTATATCTACACTAAACACTTTATAACAATGTGTTGTCCAGCTGTTACCCTCTCCCTCATCTGTTATATTGTCTTGGACTTAATCTCCCTTAACCCCCCAATACTGCCAAATGTTTGTAGAGGCCACAACAGTGGTAACTTGAAAATTCACTTATGTCCCATTCAGCAGCCTAAGACTAAGTGGTTGGTACTAACAGCTGAGTCAATGGGTGACTCACAGCCAGGACCTAACCCTGCCTCATCTTTTCTGCCTTTCCGTGACTAATGCCTCATGCCCACTAAGGTCAGAGACAGGACAGAAATTCATGCATCTGCCTCTTTGGCATATGTAGTTTTATACCTCTCAGGATTTTGTCACCATTTTTCATTTTCTCTGTTCGTTAACTATGTAAATTTTAATCATATAATCATCTTTTAAACTTTTTCAATAACAAAAAATCTGAATATTTTCTTTTCATATAAAAAGCTCTTCTAATAGTATGCATTATTCTAAAACTCATTTTAACATCCTTACAACAAAATAATTAAATTGTAGATATTACCTTATAAATAATTGCATAAGATTTCATCCAAAACTTTATTCTATCATGTTTCAACTATATTTCTGTCATTAGTAAGCAGGATAAACTTACCAGCTAGGGAAGCTTTCTTGTAATCCATCTAACTCTTTTTATTTTAATATTTTTTTGAGACAGGGTCTTGTTAGGTTGTTAAGGGCGGTCTCAAATTCCTGGCCTCAAGCAGTTCTCCCACCTCAGCCTCCCAAGTAGCTAGGATTACACGCAGAGGCCACCCTGCCCAGCTTATGAGACATATCTCGCTTGGTCATCCAAGCGAGTGAGAGTGCAGTGGCAAGATCAGAACTCACTGCAAGCTCAACCACTTGGGCTCACGTGAACTTCCTACCCCAGCCTCCCAAGTAGCTGGGACCACAAGTGTGCTACCACCATGCCCTGCTAAACTTTTTATTTTTATTTTTTGTAGAGACAGGGTCTCCCTATGTTGCTCGGTTTGGTCTCTAACTCCCGGGCTCATGCAATCCTCTCTCCTTTGGCCCCTCAAAGTGCTGGGATTACAGGCATGAGCCAACTGCACCCAGCCCTCCGCTTAACTCTTAATAAGCAACACTAAATATCTATTATTCTTGTTTTATTGGTCATCCCTTCACCACATATTATAGTGTCCAAAGGAAAAAAATTATAAGAAAATAGTATAACTCCTTAGCACTGTTGCCTCTACATAATGTTAACACACCATTCCCTTGCATACTGATTTATTCTTTCAACATCTATATAGGTTTCTGACTCCTGGAACAATTCACATCAACATCACACCTACCACCAGAAAGCAGGTGTCAAACGTTCCCCTTCTTTGTAAGAACCATATACAGTACTCACTTCTGCAGCACATATACTAAAAATTGGGATGATAATAGAGAAAAGATCAATATGACCCCTGCTCAAGGATGACATGCAAATTTGTGAAGCATTCCATATTTTTTAGGCACTCTTACCACACACACACACACACACACACACAAACGGTTAACTATGGGAGATGCGGGATATGTTAATTTACTTGACTGTAGTAATTACTTCACTACATATATGCATATCAAAACATTATGTTGTGTACCTTACATATAGACAATAAAAAAGAAAAGAGAACCATATACAAACCTTATATGTAAGTACTTTATTATAGCCTTTTTGGTAACTATAAAACATCTGCATCACTGTGAATTAGAAATGGAGAAATGTTACTATATTTTACAAAAGGAAACAATCATGAGGAACTTAAATTAACTTTTCCAATATAGTGATTCACTAAAAGCATTAAAAACCACAAACTCAGGTTTTCCAAAGGCTAAACTTGGGTTCTTCCTCTATACTACTCCCACTGTGAACACCAGGTAGATAGAAACTTAACTACTTGCTATTACTATGTTTCTCAAAACACGCCCTGCAAAGAATGATCACTAAGCATGTAAGTTTAGAAAAAGCAGAGTTAAACAAGAAAGTTTGTTTAGTATATTAATGACTCATAGGACTCCTGTATTTATGTCTAAGGTTGCAATTTTTTGAGGGTGAAAAATCAGACCTTGGCGATGACCTTGAGCAGTAGGATATAAAGAACTCCCAGATGCTTAGCGTTCCATTAATGGAACACTAGGCATAAATAAGTTAATGTACATTCTGGATTTCCAAGAGCACAGGCCCAAAATGCAGAAGTTCTCAAATTATTTAACTGTCAAAAAGTCACAGAACGCCAATTCCTTTAACTGAACAATGCAGTGCACAATTTAGGAAGTGTTATGCCATGCTTATAAAACAGCTGACACTTGTTAACTGGCTAGTAATTCGCTCTCTTTGTTCAAAACTGCTTTCTTCTGATACAATGTCTATCTCAATTCTCTAGGTTTTGATTAAATACATCAGCAAATATTGAAAATAAAGCATCATTTACTTTCAAATACACTAGGGTAAAAACAAAAAATCCAACCTCAATGATTGATTTATAAAATAGCTAAATATTTACTATTAAGAATAAAAAAACATTATCAAATATTATCTTTTGCTATTCTGAAAAAACTACTCCCTTTAATTTGCTATCCCCTCTAACTACTCATTCTCTGAAAGGATGTAGCCTCCGAATTCCCACAAACCAATCTCTTTTTAACCCCTTTAAAACTTGTAACCTTTAAACAGGCTTTAAGCTGCTGCCTGTCAGTTTCCTGTTCCTTCCTGTTTCTTCTTCTTTTTTTTTTTTTTTTTGAGACAGAGTCTCGCTCTGTCGTCCAGGCTGGAGTGCAGTGGCATGTACGATCTAGGCTCACTGCAAGCTCCGCCTCCCTGGCTCACACCATTCTCCTGCCTCAGCCTCCCGAGTAGCTGGGACTACAGGCACCCGCCACCATGCCCGGCTAATTTTTTGTATTTTTAGTAGAGACAGGGTTTCACCATGTTAGCCAGGATGGTCTCGATCTCCTGACCTCGTGATCCACCCGCCTCGGCCTCCCAAAGTGCTGGGATTACAGGTGTGAGCCACCGTGCCCAGCCTCCTGTTCCTTCTTTACATGTAAGAAGATTAAAAGTCACCACTCCATCCTAACAAGTAAAAAGCTAAGCAAACTGAAAAACCAATAGCTGTAGTTAGATCCTTCAGAGAAGTGAGGTCACAGGGCAAACCACGGTTCCCCAAAATTGAGAGACAGGTAGGCAGATAGAGAAAAATCTCAAGTCATCAGAGCAGAAACCCACAAGCAGAAACTTCCTTGGGAACCAGTGCCAGGGTAAGAAAGCCTCAACTATAATGACAAATTGCTGGAGACTCAGTGCCAACAAATGACAATTAAAAACTCCAGGAGGATCCAGTCATGTGAGGCCCTGACACTCTTGTGAATTTTACCTCCAGGAGCTCTACTATGCCCTTACAGTAAATATCAGAGAAAAATCCCTTTGTGCTTCTGGTAGGGGGAAGGAAAAAAGAACAATTTTGAAATACGCCAGAGCAATCAGTTCTTAACAAGGCCTGCCTTGAACAGAAACTAATTTACCAGAGCCTAACCTACCTGTGGGTAAAGAAGTACTGTAAACAACTCCAGTTCACTTCAGCCTTTCACAAGAGGGAAGGGAAATACCAAATTCCAGTCCTTTCTAACCATTCTGTCCCACCTAAAGGTGACAGGGATAAGGGTGGGGGACTGAGAAACAATGGTTATGTTCACAGTCCAGGAGCACAGGTTCACCAAAAAACTGGGACCTAATACTAGAACTACACAATGCCTCCCTTATAACTACATCACTAAAGGCCTATTTGCAGCAGTTCCTTTTACCTAGTACATCATGTATACCTTTCAATAAAAAATTACAAGACATAATAAAAGGCAAAAAACAGCTTGAAGAGACAGAGCAAGTATCAAAAACAGACATGTCAGGAATTCTGGAGTTACCAGACTGGGAATTTTTTAAAACTATGATTAATATGCTAGGTGCTTTATGAAAAAGGTAGACAATATGCAAATACATAGACAATGTAAGCAGAGAAACGGAAATTCTAAGAAAGGATAAAAAGAAATGTTAGAAATCAAAAGCAACATAACAGAAATGAAGAATGTCTTTAATGGCTTCATTAGTAGACTGAACATAGCTAAGGAAAGCATCTCTGAGCTTAAGGGTCTAACAACAGAAACTACTTCCAAAACTGAAAAGCAAAGAAAAAAAAGAGAGGAAAAAGAAAGAGTAGAACATTCAAGAACTGTAGGAAACTAAAAAAGGTGTAACTTAAATACACTGGTAACACAAGGAAACAATAATGACTAAGAATTTCCAAGTTCATATCAGACACCAAACCACAGATCCATAAAACTCAGATAACATTAAGACTGAGGCCCCTAAAAACCTAAAAATAATTTTTAAAAATCTAAGCATATCATATTCAAGCTTCAGAAAATCAAAAGCAAAGAAAAAAATCTTGAAAGAAACCAGAGGCAAAAAACACCTTGCCTACAGAAGACCAGCTTCTCCTTAGAAACAATGCAAACAGGAGAGTAGAATGAAATTAAACTAAAGTGTTGAGAGAAAAAAAACATGAACCTAAAAATTTATACCATGTGAAACTATCCTTCTAGAGTGAAAGAAACATAAAGACATTCTCAGACAAACAAAAATTGAAGACTTGTGTTGCCAGTAGACCTGCCTTGCAAGACACATTAAAATAATTTCATGAAAGAGGATAATGATATAGGTCAGAAACTCAGGAAGAACATGAGAGAACAAGTGAAGGCAAAATAAAAACTTTTATTTTTCTTATTTTTAATTCAGCTAAAAGGTAACAGTTCAAAATAATAGCAATGATGTATCTGCTTGCGTATGCCTATGTATAAGTGAAATGAATGACAAGATAGAAAAGGACAGAAGCAAGGAAACAGGAATATTTTGTTATTATAAAGTACTTACACAACCCATGAAGCAATACAGTACTATTTGACAATGTGCTTGGAAAACTGTAAATGTATATTGCAAGCTCCAGGGCAAACACTTAAGTTAGGAAAAAAAAGAAAAAAAAAAAGGCTGGTTGTAGTGGCTCACACCTGTAATCCCAACACTTTGGGAGGCCAAGGCAGGCAGATCACTCGAGGTCAGGAATTCAACACCAGCCTGGCCAACATGGCAAAACTCCATCTCTACTAAAAACACAAAAATTAGCTGGGCGTGGTGGCGCACGCCTGTAATCCCAGCTACCCCAGAGGCTGAGGCAGGAGAACTGCTTGAATATGGAAGGTGGAGGTTGCTGTGAGCAGAGATGGTAACACTGCATTCCAGCCTGGATGACAGAGCAAGACTCCATCTCAAAAAAAAAAAACCAAAACTAGAGGACAGGCGTGGTGGCTCATGCCTATAATCCCAGCACTTTGGGAGGCCAAGGTGAGTGGATTGCTTTAGCCCAGGAATTTGAGACCGGCCTGGGCAACATGGCAAAACCCTATCTCTACAAAAAAAAGCACAAACAGTAACTAGCCAGGCATGGTGGTGTGCATCTATCGTTCCAGCTACTTAAGAGGCTGAGGTGGGAGGATCACTTGAGCCAGGGAGATGGAGCAGTGAGACAACATCACGCCACTGTACTCCAGCCTGGGTGATACAGTGTCTCAAAAAAATAAATAAATAAATAAAATAAAATAAATATATATATATAACTGGTGTGCTCAAAAATGAGAGAAAAATGAAATCATATAAAATAATTAAATCACAAAAGACAGAAAAAGTGCATAACAAAAAGTTACAAAGAAACAGGGCAACAAATAGAAAATCGTAAGAAATATGGTGAATATTAATTTAACTATATCAATAACCACTTTAAACATCAAGTCTAATATACCAGTTAAAAGACACTGTCAAAGTAGACCAAAAAACAAGATCCTACTATATGAACAAGAAACTCATTTTAAATATAAAAACACATACAGATTAAAAGCAAAGGGATGGAGAAAGATACACCACGCTAACGCTAATCAGAAGAAAGTGGGAGCAGCTATATTAATTTCAGACGGAGCCAACTTCAGAGCATGGAAAGTTACCAGGGATAAAGAGAGGCATTAAGTAATGATAAAGGGATCAATACCTCAAGAAGACCCAATGATCCTTAATATATATATGCCTAACAATGAAGAGTAAAAATAAAAAAAAACCAGAACTTCAAGAGGAAATACATAAATGCACTATTAGAGTTGAGATTTCAACATGGCTCTATCAGGAATGGGCAGATCCAGCCAGCAATAAATCAGTAAAGATATAGTTTAACTCAGCAGCACTTTCAATTAACTGGATATAACTGACATCTATAGACTACTTCATCCAACAACAGCAGACTGCACATTCTCTCCAAGCTCGAATGAAATATTTACCAACATAGACCACATTCTGGGTAATAACACACCTTAACAAATTTATAAGTATAGAAATCATATAATGTCTACTATCAGACCACAGAATTAAACTAGAAATAAATAACAAAACATAGGAAAATTCCAAAGTACTTCTGAATAAACACATTAATCAAAGAGAAATGTGAAGAGCAATTTTAAAATACTTTAAATTAAAATGAAAATACAATTTAACACTTCTGGGATGCAGCAAAAGCAGTGCTTGGAGGAAAACTTATAGTTTGAATGCACATGTAAGAAAGATAAAAAATCAGTAATCAGAGCTTCAGCTAGGAGCACTGGCACACACTTGTAGTCCCAGTTACCTGGGAGGTGAAGGCAGAAAAATGGATAGAATCCAGAAGTTCTGGACTGTAGTACATTATGCCCAGTAAACCTCCACGATTAGTTTGGTATCAACACCCCTGGGAACAGGACACCACCAGGTTGCCTAAGGAGGGGTGAACCACCCAGGTTGGAAACAGAGCAGGTCAAAACACAGATCAGTAGTGGGATTGCACCTGGGAATAGCCACTGCACTCCAGCTTGAGCCACATAGTGAGACCCTGTCTCTTAAATAAAATTTGTATATAATAATAATAATCTAAACTTCATCATAGAAAGCAAGAAAGAAAAGCAAATTAACTCCAAAGTAAGCAGATAAAGAGAAATATAGAAATTACAGCAAAAATCAATGGAATTGATAACAGGAAATCAATAGAGTAAATTAACAAACCCAAAAGTAACTTTTCTGAAAAAATCAATAAAACTGATAAGCCTCTAGCCAGACTTACAAAAAAAGACAGAAGACAAATTACTAATATCAGAACTGAAAGAGAAGATCTTTACTAATCGCTACTGACCCCAAAGTCATTAAAAAGATAATAAACTAATATTGTAAATAAATCTACGCCCACAAATTTGCAAAGCTAAATGAAATGGAGCAACTACTTAAAAAACATAATCTGCCAAAACTCACAGTAGAAAAAAAAATCTTGAATAGACCTACATCTATTAAAAAAATTGAATCAATAACTAACTTTCAGAAACAGAGGGAACCAAATCCAGATGGGTTCACTGGTGAATTCTAATAAACATATAAAGAAAAGAATACCAATTCTCTACAGTCTCTTTCAGAGACATAGCAGTTACTTCCTAAGTCATTCTGTGAGGACAATACTAACCTAATACCAAAACCAGACAAAGACATTACAAGAAAAGAAAACTACAGACCAATCTCTTATGAACATAGATGCGAACATCCTCAACAAAATATTAGCAAATTAAATCCAACAATGTACTTACATACCATGATCAAGCAGTATTTACCAAGACTGGCTCAACATTTTTAAAAATCAATGTAATCAATCACGTCAGGGTGAAGAAAAATCACATGATCATATTAATAGATGCAGAAAATCCATTTGACGGTATCCAATACCCAATCATGACTAAAACGCTGAGCAAATTAGGAATAGAAGGGAACTTCCTCAACTTGATAAAAAAAAAAAATCTACCAAAAAATCTACAGCTAACACCATACTTAATGGTGAGAATGTCAAAGCTTTCCCACCAAGATGGGGAAAAATGCAAGGACACCTCCTCTTACCACTGTTTTTCAAAATCATACTCAAAGTCCTAGCTAATGCAGTAAAACAGAAAAAGGAAAAAGGTATACTGATTGGAAAAGAAGAAATAATACTGTCTTTGTTCTCAGATGACAGGATTGTCTAGGTAGAAAATTCTAAAGAACTGACAAAAAACCTCATGGAACTAACAAGCAAGGTTGCAGAATACAAGGAAAGCCACTGGCTTTCCTGTTTGTACAAAAGAAACTTAAAACACATTACCATTTACATTAGCAACCAAAAAATGAAATACTTAGGTATAATTCTAACAAAATATGTACAGGATCTATAAAAGAAAAACTACAAAACTATGATGGAAGATAACAAAGAACTAAATAAATGCAGAGATACTCCAAGTTCATGAATAAGACTCAATATCAACATGTCTGTTCTTCCCAACTTGACGTACAGATTTGGCACAATTCCAATCAATATCCCAGCAATTATTTTGTGGATATCAACAAACGGATTCTAAAGTTTTTATGGAGAGGTAAAAGACCTAGAATAGCCAACATAACATTGAAAGAAAAAGTCGGAGGGATTGACACTACTAGACTTATTATAATGCTATAGTAACCAAGATAGTGTGGTATTTCAGAAAAGGACAAATAAATCAATGGAACGGAACAGGAAACCCAGAAACAGACCCAAATAAATATAATCAATTGATCTTTGAAAAAAGAGCAAAGGTATGGATCAAAGACAGACTTTTTAACAAACAGTGCTGGCACAACTAGACATCCACATGACAAAAAAAAAAAAAAAAAGAATGTAAACACTCACCTTACAGCCTTCACAAAATTTAACTCAAAATGGATCACAGACCGAAATTAAAATGCAAAACTATAAAACTCCTAGACAATAACAAAAAAGAAAATCTAATGACCTTGGCTATGGTGATGCCTTCTCAGACACAAAAGTCACAATCCATGAAAGAAAAAACGAATAAGCTGGATTTCATTAAAATTAAAAACTTCTGCTCTGCAAAAAGCAACTGTCAAGAAAATGAAAAGACAAACCATAGACTGGGAGAAAAATATTTTCAAAAGACACATCTGGTAAAGGACTGTTATCCAAAAATATACAAAGAACTCTTCACAACAATAAGAAAACAAACCTGATTTTAAAATGGGCAAAAGACCTGAACAGACATCTCACCAAAGAAGATATAAAGATGGCAAATAAACACATGAAAAGATGTTCAATATCATATGCATTAGACCATTCTTGCATGGCTATAAAGAAATACCTGAGCCTGGGTAATTTATAAGTGGTTTAACTGGCTCATGGTTCTGCAGGCTGTGTAGGAAGCATGGTGTCAGCATCTGCTCAGCTTCTGGGTAGGCTCAGGGAGCTTTTACTCATGGTGGAAGGCAAAGCGGGAACAAACATATCACATGATGTTTGGTGAAAGCAGAGCAAGAGTGAGTAGCGGGCAAGGTGCCACACTTTACAACAACCAGACCTCGTGAAAACAAACTCAATATCAGGAAGATGGCAGCAAGCCATGAGGGATCCTCCCCCATGACCCAAACCCCTCTCACCAGGTCCCACCTCCAACATTAGGAATTACATTTCAACATGAGATTTATTTATTTATTTAGGAGACAGGGTCTCACCCTGTTGCCCAGGTAGGAGTGCCGTGGCACAATCATAGCTCACTGCAGCCTTGGCCTCTCAGGCTTAAGTGATCCTCCCCACTCGGTCTCCTGAGTAGCTGGAACCACAGGTGTGCTGACCACCATCTGGCTAATTTTTTCTTTTTGTAGAGACAGAGTCGCAGTCTCATGTTGGCCAAGCTGGTCTCAAACTCCTGGCCTCAAGCAATCCTCCCACCTCAGCCTCCCAAAGTGCTGGGATTATAGGTATGAGTCACCACCCTGGCCATAACTACAGATCTAGAGGAGTCACATAGCCAAACCATTATATATCATCATATGTGATTAGAAAACAGCATATTCAAACAAGATATCACTATACACCTTTTACAATGGCCAAAATCCAAAAATCTGGCAATATCAAATGCTGACAAGAATGTAGAGCAACAGGAACTCTCACTCACTACAGGTGGGAATGCAAAATGGTGCAGCCACTATGGAAGACAGTTTGGCAGTTTCTTCCAAAACATACTTTTACTATACTATCCAGCAATCAGGCTTCTTGTTATTTATCCCAATAAATTGAAAACTTCTGGCCACAAAAAAACCTGCATACAAATGTTTATAAGCACCTTTATTCATAATTGCCAAAATCCACAAACCACCACTAGCTGACTGGATAAATTATGGTGCATTCAGACAAAAAAAGAAATTAGCTATCAAACCATGGAAAGAAAGAATGAATCCTAAATGCATGTTATTTAGTGAAAGAAGCCAATGTGAAAAGGCTACATACTGTACAATTCCATCTATACAACATCCTGGAGAAGGTAAAACTATGGAGACAGTAAAAAGATTAGTGACTGACAGGGGCTAAGGGGGAAGGAAGAATGAACAGACAAAATAAACAGGATTTTTAGGCAATGAAACTATTTTGTATGACACCACAATGTGGGATACATGTCATTAAACATTTGTGAAAACCTATAGAATGTACAATGCCAAGAATAAACCCTAATGTAAACTATGAACACTGGGTGACAATAATATGCTAATGTAAGTTCACCACTGGAAACAAATGTGCCAGTGTGCTGGATGTCAACAGTGGGAAAAAGAGGGGGTGGAATATGGGAACTCTACTTTCCCCTCAATTTTGCCATAAAGCTAAAACTGCTCTAAAAAATAAAGTTTATTAATTTTTAAAAAGTGAACTAGGGGAAATAAAATTTTTGTGCCTATCTAGAAGTATTCACCATTTTACTCAAACTGCATTCCTGTCCCTTATACACCACCTTTAACCATTAAATCCAATGCCTTTTTTGATTTTGCATCCTCCTTGTCCTCATTGCCTTGAAATAAATCACTGTAAAAATGGAATACAAATGGGTAAAGATGCAAGGCAGAAGGGTTTCACCCAGAACAAGCTATATAACTTGCTAACTGTCAAGAAACATCATTAAATAGCAAAAGTCAAGATGACTGCTCCAGGATATATAACTTAAACTCAAGTGAGTCAACTATTAAGAGTTGATGGGATATAAGGTTGTTGATCCATTTAACAAAGCTCGAAAGTGACTAATATAGAAACCACAAGGACAATTTATCTATTAACAACAACAACAAAATTAAGCCAGGCACGGTGGCTCATGCCTGTGATCCCAGCACTTTGGGAGGCCAAGGAGGGAGGATCACTCAAGTCCAAGAGTTCAAGACGAGCCTGGGAAATTGGTGAGAACCTGTCTATACAAAAAATAAAGCATTAGCTGGGCATGGTGGCATGCATCTGTAGTCTTAGTTAATAGGAAGGCTGAGGTGGGAAGATCGCTTGAACCTGGGAGGTTGAGGCTGCAGTGAACAGTGATTACACCACTGCACTCCAACCTGAGAAACAAAGCAAGACCTTGTCTGAAAAAATAATAATAATAAAATAAAATACATGCATGCCTGCATGTATCTCTGCCCAGCCTAATCTCCCCTACAAGCCTACTAAGTGGGAAGCCAAACTGTAATCCTAAGATTCCCTAATGAAGATTGCCAACTAATAAATTTCAACGAAATTACAAATAGAGGGAAAAACCACCATTTTACAGTATCATTACAAGAAAATAAATGATTCAGGTAAAAATAATCAACGGCTATTAAAACCAATGGGTACTTATTATTTATTAATTATAAAGGGAAAGGTATTTTTCATAATAGCAAAATCTGGTGCAACCCACCTTAACCAAGTCCAAACTTAGGTACATCATCAATAGGATAATTGACGTCATGTGCCCTTATGTACTGAGAACTCATGACCTATGGCATATCTCTGCCAGTAATGGTTAATCTAAGTGTAACTATGAGAAAACAATCAAATACAAATTGAGACACATTCTGCAGAACTATCCTAAACTCTTCAAAAATGTTAATGTTACAAAAGAAATAAAAAGCAAAAAGGACTGTTCTAGATTAAAGGAGACAAAAAAGACATAACAATTAAATGCAGTTCATTAAAACAGACAAATATAAACGACACTATAGGAATAACTGACGATATATGAATAATACATTAATGTTAAATTCATTATATTTGGTTTTGTAGGCTATTGTCCTTATTCTTGGGAAATACATGATAAAGTATTTCAATGGAAAAGAACAAGATCTCTGCAACTTACTTTTAAACAGTTCAGCAAAAGTAATATATACATGTGTGTATAAAGAGAAAGGGACAAACTAAAATGTGACAAAATATAAAGTTGCTCAGTATTCTTGCAACTTTTCTGCAAATTTCAAATTTTCCAACACAAATACTTGGGGTAAAGTTGAACATGCAATCTGGACCCAAAAAAAAGCCTATATCCAATAAAAACATTTACATAATAACAAGAATAACTCCACCAGAAACAGATTCCATCCTTGGGCTAAAAAAAGCCCACTCACTTGTACTTAGATGACACCTGACAAGCTAACCCTTAATAAGGCTCCATTTTACATGAGTCCATTATGACCACATCGTTTGCTACAATCCCTATTATTTAAATAAGCCAGTATTACCAAGCAGGTACTGTCAGGTCTTTCTAACCAGAAAACTTGTGTAATTCATTGCACACTGATTTAATTGATTTCGTGTGGTTTAATTCTCTGAGAAAACAATTCTTTCCAAGTTGGTTTGATGACATCGTTGCTGCCACTGTTTGAGAAGGAATCTTTATTTTTTGTCATATTACATCAACTTCAAGAATGTCCCAGCTGTATTCAGAAGAATAAATGAAAGTCTGTCATATAATCAAGGTAGGGAGAAACGTGTCCCAACAGAAGAAATAGTAAATGGAGAGGCATAAAATTGCTTCTGGTATATATATATGGTATATATATATATATGGTGTGTATATATATGGTATATATATATGGTGTGTATATATATGGTATATATATGGTGTGTGTATATATGGTATATATATATGGTGTGTGTATATATGGTATATATATGGTGTGTGTATATATGGTATATATATGGTATATATATATGGTGTGTGTATATATGGTATATATATGGTGTGTGTATATATGGTATATATATGGTGTGTGTATATATGGTATATATATGTTATATATATATGGTGTGTGTATATATGGTATATATATGGTGTGTGTATATATGGTATATATATGGTGTGTGTATATATGGTATATATATGGTGTGTGTATATATGGTATATATATGGTGTGTGTATATATGGTATATATATGGTGTGTATATATATGGCGTGTACATATATGGTATATCTATGGCGTGTACATAATGGTATATCTATGGCGTGTACATAATGGTATATCTATGGCGTGTACATATATGGTATATATCTATGGCGTGTACATATATGGTGTATATCTATGGCGTGTATATATATGGTATATCTATGGCGTGTATATGTATGGTATATATATGGCGTGTATATGTATGGTGTATATATATGGTGTGTATATGTATGGTGTATATATATGGTGTGTATATATGGTATATATATGGTATATATATGGTGGGTATATATATGGTGTATATATATGGTGTGTATATATATGGTGTGTATATATATGGTATATATATGGTGTATATATATGGTGTGTATATATGGTGTATATATGGTGTGTATATATGGTATATATATGGTGTGTGTATATATGGTATATATATGGTGTATATATGGTATATATATGGTGTGTATATATGGTGTATATATATGGTGTGTATATATGGTGTATATATATGGTGTGTATATATACGGTGTATATGGTGTGTATATATACGGTATATATATGGTGTGTATATATACGGTGTGTATATATATGGTGTGTATATACGGTGTGTATATATATATGGTGTGTATATATACAGTGTATATATACGGTGTGTATATATATATGGTGTGTATATATATGGTGTGTATATATATGGTGTGTATATATATGGTGTGTATATATGGTGTGTATATACATGGGGTATATATATGGTGTGTATATATATGGTATATATATGGTGTATATATATGGTATATATATGGTGTGTATATATGGTATATATATGGTGTATATATGGTATGTATATATATGGTGTATATATATGGTATGTATATATATGGTGTTCCTTATATATGGTGTATATGTATATGGTGTATATATATATGGTGTATATGTATATGGTGTATATATATATGGTATATATATATGTGAGTGTGTGTGTGTATACGTTTATGCATATGTGTATACTGGGTCACAGGTGTAAAATCTATTTCTTTTAGTGAGTCATGGTCAAAATTATATCTGAAGGCCACTACTCTGTAAACAATAGATCCACAAAAGGATTTTAAGAAAGTATAAAATTTGTCTACTGAAAGTAAAATAAAGCAATTTTTCAAACTGCTGGGAGTTTCAAATTCAATTTAGTTGCTTTCTACCAGTAATTTTTAAGTAGAGTATAACAGAATTAAAATGAAAATAGAATTGTATCACAAGTAGTAATTTTAAAGGTTATTTTTCATTAAACCTTTGCAGTTTTTTTTTTAATTTAAATATACACATAAGCTCTGTGTCATAATGTATCAGGAATTTCTTAATTTTTACTTGGGTTGAAGTTAAACATTTTGAAAGCCAATAATAAAGAGTTATCAATTGGCTGAGGAAGAGATCAGTAAAAGGGAAAAAAGTAACAGACCACTCTAATAGGAGAAGAAAGAGAAAATGAGGGTGTGAATCAAAGTAAAGGAAATAAAAAAGAAATGTCAGATCCTTTTGGGAGGCCAAATGCGAGTGGATCACTTGAGGTCAGGCATTCGAGACCAGCCTTGCCAACATGTGAAACCCTGACTCTACTAAAAAAATACAAAAATTAGCCAGGGGTGGTGGCACGCACCTGTAATCCCAGCTACTCGGGAGGCTGAGGCATGAGAATTGCTTGAAGCGGGAGGTGGAGGTTTCAGTGAGCCAAGATCATGCCACTGCACTCCAGCCTGGGCTACAGAGCGAAACTCCATCACAAAATAATAATAATAAAAGAAAGGTGTTAGATCTATTTCGGAGGTAGAATAGAACAATCTAGATAACTGGTTAGAGTGGGAAAGGAGAAAAAGAGACCGACTGGCCGGGCACGGTGGCTCAGACCTGTAATCCCAGCACTCTGGGAGGCTGAGGCAGGCAGATTACCTAGGGTCAGGAGTTCGAGAGCAGCCTGGCCAACATGGCGAAATCCCATCTCTATTAAAAATACAAAAATTAGCTGGGCGTGGTGGTGTGCGCCTATGATCCCAGCTACTCAGGAGGCTGAGACAGAAGAATCGCTTGAACCTGGGAGGTGAAGGGTTGCAGTGAGCCAAGATCACGCCATTGCACTCCAGCCTAGGCGACAGAGCGAGACTTTGTCTCAAAAAAAAAAAAAAAAAGAAAAAGAAAAAGAGACTGACTGAAATCTTAAAAAAAAGTTTTTAAATAAAAAGTTAAGAAGAGAATTGCATTACAATTCCACATATCTACACTACAATGCTATGCACAAGCCATTACCATAGCATTCAAAGCATAATACAATTTTTCTCCTATTATATTTAAACTTTTATTCCACTGTACTCTCTCAAGGGCCCTGTGCACTAGGAAGATAATACCATTTCCACAAAAATTAATTAAAAGGTACCATTCATTGCCAGGCGCGGTGGCTCACGCCTGTAATCCCAGCACTTTGGGAGGCCGAGGAGGAAGGATCACGAGGTCAAGAAATCAAGACCATCCTGGCCAACATAGTGAAACCCCATCTCTACTAAAAAATATAAAAATTAGCTGGGCGTGGTGGCACTCGCCTGTAGTCCCAGCTACTTGGGAAGCTGAGGCAGAAGAATCGCTTGAACCCGGGAAGTGGAGGTTGCAGTGAGCCGAGATCACACCACTGCACTACAGCCTGGCGACAGAACAAGACTCCATCTCAAAATAAATAAATAAATAAATAAATAAATAAATAAATAAATAAATAAATAAATGGTACCATTATCTCCGCAGCACTTTAAAAGTTGTATGATTTCTGACACTAACTTTAATGTTAAATGTTATTCTATCACATAGATAAGGTTCTTAAAAAACAATGTCAAAACAAAAATATTAGGTTATTTCCTATTCACTTGTTAAAATTTCAAAAACAGCTTCATGATAAAAAGATTTTGATCTCAATGACCATACAAAAGGAAGATATTCAGGAATCCTAATATTAACTAGAGGATATGATTTCCTGTTAGTGTGAGGGTTGTGTTCTTTTTTTCCAAATTCCCTGAGAAATTAATCAGATTTATGTGCTAACCAAACACAAACAAATACAAACAAATAGTTATATTCTTTTTAATTACTAATGATGACAAATGTGGAGAATTACTACATGATTCCAAAGAACTACTAAATCTAACTGAAATTTCATTTCTTCTACCACCAGCAATAAAGCATTGCAGTGTCCCCTAAGTCTAAGTAGAGAACAGTTCCACTCCAGATACCTGGATTAGCTTTCTTCATCAAGGAGGAACTAAAAGACAGTAAAATATTCCTAAATTTTCATATGGTCACTACTTAATGCAGTGATTAATAATAATTTCTTCTAAATCCATGCTTTGGCAGCCACCCTAAAACCCAACTGATGTGAGTGAACAACTAAGCTTACCATCTGCCTACCTACCTGTCTGTCTATATAGAGAGAGAAAGCAACCTATAGTCACTTAAGTGACATAATGTATGAAAGAATTCCTATACCGTGGCTGTTCAATAAATAAGAAAGCTAACAATGGTTTAATTAAAACACTACAATTGCATCCTCACTTCATCACTGATAGGTTCTTAGAAACTGCAGCCTTAAGAAAACAACATAGAATAGGTCCTCAAATAACATCATTTCATTGTAACACTGATAAGAAAAAAATTGGGTTTCGTTATATGTTGTTTCATATTTCTGCATTTGTCTTGAAAGAAGATTTAAAAATCTGTCAAAAAGAAAAGGCCTTCAACCTTAAGGAGGTATTTGTTGATACAAATATCTCTAAATAAATGCATACACAGAAGTATCAAAGCTCATTTCTCTATTGCCTGAGATAACCTCCAGAATGCATGCAAGTACATGAATATCCATAAATACTGAACTACCCAAAATAAACACTGTATTAAGTCCCTTAAGATGGCTATAACACCCTAATTCCTCCTCAAAGAACTTCATTCTCCTACTGAAACAATTTTTCTGAAGCATCCAGGAAGAAAAACAGAAGTGGGAATGTAGCATAGTAGTTAAATAGACTTAGGGGTCAAAAGCTTGGGTTTGTATCACTTGGTAGGCTCTGTGACTTGGGAAAGTTACCTAAAACCCTCCACATCTCAATGTTCTCATATGTGAAAATGTTAGCTATAATTATATTTAGGGGGATAGGGATATATACAGATGTATTTTAGATATATATAATATACAAAAACTTAACAGTGATTATTACCTTTGGTAGTAAAAGTAAGGATTGGTTTTTCTTCATATTTTCTAATAGTCTCCAAATTTTCTATAGTAAACATATATTAATCATATTTAGGGGAAAAGTGATTATTTAAAAATTATCTAGAAGCCAAAATGCCCAACATACAATCAAAACTCACCCATCATACCAAGAACCAAGAAAGTCACAACTTGGATGAGAAAAAGAAAATAAACATGTTAATGTTGATGTGTATTAGATGTTGGAAAGGTTTTTAATTTTCAATCAGCTATCATTAAAAACACTTCAACAATCAATTACAAATTCTTTTAAAACAGATTTAAAAAATAGAAAATTTCAGCTAAGAAAAAGGTTGTAAAACCAACCAAATGATGATAAAACAAGCTACAATAACAACCAAAAAAAAAAAAAACACAAAAAAAAAACAAAACTTACTAGATAGGTGAGGAAATGTTGATCAAAGGAGATAAATTTCAGTTAAGAGGAATAAGTTCAAGAGATCTATGGTACAAACATGGTGTCCATAGTTTATAATAATAATTTACTGCATACTTTAAATTGCTACGATTGTGTTTTCAGCACACACAAAAAAAATGCTGAGTACGTAAGGTAACGCAGGTTAATTAGCTCAGTTTAGTCATTCCACAATGTATACATATATCAAAATATCTGTTGTACACAACACACATACACAATTTTTGTCAATTTAAAAATTATTTTTTTCAACTTAATGGGCTCAATAGCAGATGACAGAAGACAGAATCTGTGAACTTGAGGACCAACAGATCAATAGAATTTACCCCATCTGAACAACAGGAAGAAAAATGACTAAAAAGAAGTTAAAAGTCTTGAGGATCTGTAAGACAGTAACGTAAGATCTAACTCCGTATCACTGGAGTCCCAAAGAAAAGAGCATGGAATTGAAAGGGTATTCAAAAATAATGGCTGAAAACATCCGTATTTGGAGAAAAACATAAACCTACAGATCCAGGAAGTGATCAAATCTCAAACAGGTAAACCCACAGAAACCCTGACATATCACTAAACTTCTGAAAACAAAGATAAAGATTTTGAAAGCAATTACAGAGAAAAGACACATTACCTTATAGGGGAACACCAATTCAAGTGGCAAGAGATTTATCATCTGAAACCACAAAGGACAGAAGAAAAGTGGCACAAAATTTTTCAACTTCTGAAAGAAAAGAATTGTCAACCATAAATCTTATTTGTGGTGAAACTATCTTTCAGGAATAATGGTGAAATAATGACATTTACAGGCAAAAGGAAAACGAATAAATTGTTACTAGCAGACATACCTTTAAAGAATAAGGAAATTCTTCAATAAAAGAAGGAATCTTGAAACACCAAGAAAGAAGAAAAAACAATAAGAAAAGCAGAAATGTAGATAAAAACAACAGACTATCCTTCTACTCCAGAGGTTTTCAAATCATAGTTGATGACTGAAATAAAACTTATAGGCAACAAAAGAAAAAAACAAGTAAGCTGGAATTCATCAAAATTAAATTAAATGCATCAAAAGACACTATCAACAAAACTAAAAAGTAGCCTGTGGAATGGGCAAAAATATTTGCTAATCATATAGCTGATGGGGGATTAATATCAAGAACATATAAAGAACTCCTACGAAAACAAAAAAACTCAACTCGAAAATAGGCAATAGGCTGGGGGCGGTGGCTCACACCTGTAATCCCAGCACTTTGGGAGGCTGAGACTGGTGGATTACTTGAGGTCAGGAGTTCAAGACCATCCTGGCCAACATGGTGAAACCCCATCTCTACTAAAAACACAAAAATTTGCCGGGCGTGGTGGCATGCGCCTGTAATCCCAGCTAGCTGGGAGGTTGAAACAGGAGGATCGCTTAAACCCAGGAGGCGGAGGTTGCAGTGAGCCGAGATCGTGTCACTGCACTCCAGCCTGGGCAACAGAACAAGCCTCCGTCTCAAAAAAACAAAAACAAAAACAAAAATGGGCAACAGACATTTCTTCAAAAAAAAGATATATATATAAATGGCCAATAAGCACATGAAAAGATGCTCAACAGCACTAATCTTAGGAAAATGCAAATCAAAACCAGTTACTACTTCACACCCACTAGGATAGCTATTATTAAGAAAATAGAAAATAAAAAGTGTTGGCACTCGGGAAGCTGAGGCAGGATAATCACTTGAACTCAGGAGGCGGAGATTGCAGTAAGACGAGATTGCAGTGAGACGAGATTGCAGTGAGACGAGATCACGCCATTGCACTTCAGCCTGGGCAACAAGAGCGAAACTCCGTCTCAAAAAAAAAAAAAAAAGTGTTGGCAAGGATGCAGAGAAATTCTAACCCTTGTGCATTGCTGCTGGGACTATAAAATGGTGTGGTCACTGTGGAAAACAGTATGATGATTCCTTAAAAAATTAAAAACAGAATTACCATATGATTCAGCAATTCCATGCCTGGGTATATACCCAAAATGAAAGCAGGCACTGGAACAGATATTTATATACCATGTGCACACTGGGAACCATAGCCAAAAGATGCAAGCAACCCAAATGTTCAGTGGATAACTGGGTAAACAAAAGGTGATATATACATGCAATGGAACATTATTCAGCCTCAAAAAAAAAAAAAGAAATTAGCCAGGCGTGGTGGCAGGCGCCGGTAGTCCAGCTACTCGGGATGCTGAGGCAGGAGAATGGCATGAACTGGGGAGGTGGACTTTGCAGTCAGCCGAGATCGGACCACCATACTCCAGCCTGGGCGACAGAGTGAGACTCTGTCTCAAAAAAAAAGAAAGAAAGAAAATTCTGACACATGTTACAATATGGGTTGAACCTCTTGAAACTCAACAATTTAAAAAAATCCAATTTGAAAATGGGCCAAAGACACAGACATTTCACCAAAGAAGGTATACAGATGGAAAAAGCACATGAAAAGATTTTTCAAGCTGGGCGAGGTGGCTCACGCTTGTAATCCCAGCATTTTGGGAGGCTGAGGCAGGTGGATCACTTGAGGTCAGGAGTTCAGGACCGGCCTGGCCAACATGGTGAAACCCTGTCTCTACTAAAAATACAAGAATTAGCCAGGCGTGGTGGCAGGTGCCTGTAATTCTAGCTACTTGGGAGGCTGAGGCAGGAAAATCGCTTGAACCTGGAAGGTGGAAGTTGTAATGAGCCATTATTGTGCCACTGCATTCCAGCCTAGGCAACAGAGCAAGACACTGTCAAAAAAAAAAAGAAAGAAAGAAAAAGATTTTCCAACATCATTACTGTGATGGTTAATATTAGGTGTCAGCTTGACTGGACTGAGGGATGCCTTGATGGCTGGTGAAGCATTGTTTCTGGGTGTGTCTGTGAGGGTGTTTACAGAAGAGACTGGCATGTGAGTCAGTGAATGAGGAGAGTAAGACCCACTCTGGGTGGGCACCATCCAATGCAGTCGGCTGCCAGAACAAAGCAGGCAGTAAGAGAAACAGAGCCAGCGTGCTGAGTTCCCCATCCCCTTCTAGTGAGGGATATTTTGCTTTTGCCCTCAGGCATCAAACTCCAGGTTCTTTGGTCTCTGGACTCCAGGACTCAGGCTAGCAGCCTCCCTGGGGGTCTCAGGCCTTTGGCCTCAGACTGTCAGCTTTCCTGGCTTTGAGGCTTTCCAACTTGGATGTGGTACCAGCTTTTTTCATTGGCTAGCTTGCAGATGACCTATTGTGGGATTTTGACTTTGTAATGGCATGAGCCAATTCTCCCTAATAAACTCCCTTTTATATATGCATGTATCTTATTGATTCTCTCTGGAGAACCCTGACTAATATAATTAGACATTAGAAAAATGTTAATCAAAATCACAATGAGATATCAGTAAAAACAGAAAGGCTAAAATAAAAAATGATATCATCAAATGCTGGTTAAGACACAGAGAAACCGGATCTTTCACACATTGCTGGTGAGAATGTAAAAATATATAGCCATTATAGAAAATGCTGGCAATTTCTTATAAAAGTGAACATGCAACTATCATACAATCCAGTAATTGTACTCTCGGGGACTTAACTGACAGAAATGAAAACTTATGTTCACACAAAAACATATATACAAATGTTTATAGCAGCTTTTTTTTATAATACCCAAAACTAGAAATGACCCAAATGTTCCCCAATGGCTGAACGGTTAAACAAACTGTGGCACATCTACACCATGGACTACTATTCAGCAATGAAAAAAGGGCAAAATATTGATACTTCAACTTACACGAACTTGACAAATTATGCTGAGTGACAAATGCCAATCCCAAAAGGTTACATACTATTTGATTCCATTTTGAGGCAGGTTATCATTCTGTCACCCAGGCTGGAGTGCAATGGCACAATCATAACTCACTGCAGCCTCAACCTCATAGGCTCAGGTGATCCTCCCACCTCAGCCTCCTGAATAGCTGGGACTATGGTGTGCAACACCACGAACAGCTAATTTTTGTTTTTTTTGTAGAGACAAGGTTTCGCCATGTTGCCCAGGCTGGTCTTGAACTCCTGGGCTCAAGCGATCCAACTGCCTCAGCCTCACAAAGTGCTGAGATTACAGGAATGAGCCATTGCACCCAGCCCGCATAATCTTCTTTAAATGACCACAGGAAAAAAAAAAAAAAAAAAAAAAAAGAACAAATTAGCAGTTACCAGGGAATAAGGAAAGAGGAAGGAGACACTCTGGTTATAAAACACAGCATGAGAGATTCTAGTGGTGAAGAAACTCTTCTGTATCTCTAGTATGGTAATGATTATACAAATTTACATGTTACAATACTGCATAGAACTAAATACTAAATATATCACACACACATACATGCACACACACAAATGAATATATGTAAAACTGGTGAAATGTGAACAAAATAGGTGGATTACAGCGATGTCAATGTCCTGGTTTTGATACTGCACTATAGTTATGCAAGATGTTACCACTGAGGTAAAATGGATGAACAAGTACATCTCTAACTTATTACTTTTTCTTTTCTTTTTTTTTGAGACAGAGTCTCGCTCTGTCGCCCAGGCTGGAGTGCAGTGGCATGATCTCGGCTCACTGCAAACTCTGCCTCCCAGGTTCACGCCATTCTCCTGTCTCAGCCTCCCGAGTAGCAGGCACCCACCACCACGCCCAGCTAATTTTTTTTTTTTTTTGTATTTTTAGTAGAGACGGGGTTTCACCGTGTTAGCCAGGATGGTCTCGATCTCCTGACCCTGTGATCCACCCACCTCGGCCTCCCAAAGTGCTGGGATTACAGGAGTGAGCCACTGCGCCCGGCCCATCTGTCTTATTTCTTAAAACTGCATATGAATCTACAATTACCTCAAAATAAAAAGATTTAAAAATTAGAGAAATGAATCAACATTTAGATAGAAAAGAATATAGGTGAGATACGGTCTATCGTTACACAAGTGTCTAATATGAACCCAGTTTAGCAAGTTATTCCTACAAAAAACACTTAAAAGAGGTGAGGGAGATCTCTAAGTCTTTCCCTTAGCTTGAGACAGATGTATTAGCGAAATTTTTAAAGTAAAATGTTACAACAATGAACACACATTGAATACAGAAAATTTGCTGGAGTAACAGCTTATCCATAGGATATTCCATGGCTACCATGGTCATGTGTAGGATCTTTCCACACTATAATAATCAGACATGCATTTAAATATGCTTTCCATCTTTCAACAGAGGTACAATCAAAAAAGATAAAGGTCACTGACTAACAAAGAAAGAGGTAAAGTAAGGCAAGATTTTCTCTCCCACAGTGAAAGAAATTAAAAGAATGAGGACCTTATTTCTCAAGCAGCAGACATGCATTTAATCTGTTCCAAAATAATCCAAATCCATTTTTAAAGATGTAGAGTTACCCATGTATTAGTCAGTTTGGGCTGCTATGACGAAATACCAGAGTCTGGGTGGCTTAAACAACAGAAATTATTTTTTCACAGTTCTGCATGCTGGAAATTGAACTATCAAAGTGCTGGCAAGCTTGGTTTCTGGTCAGGCCTCTCTCCTTAGCTGACAAATGAAGGCCTCCTCACCATGTCCTCACATGACCTTTTCTTGATGCACTCATACTCCTGGTACCTCTTCTTATAAAGGTACCCGTCCTATAGGATTCACCAGCCACCCTTATGACCTCATTTAACCTTAATTACCTCTTTTAAAGGCTGTATCTCCAAATTCAGTTACATTGGTGGTTAAGGCTTCAACCTATGACTATGGGGGACAGGGGGGAACTATTAAGTCCAAAATGCCAGTTACTGCCAGCCCTGAAGTACGTTAAGTTTTATCTGGGTGCATATATGTGTGTACATTCTACGTAATGGAAAGGGGCAAGACAAAATAAAAAGCATAGTATTTACATTAAAATTCCAGCTCTATCACTCAGTTTCCTCAACAATGAGGATGATGCCCATTCTCACTATATCATTGTAAGAATTAAATAAGATAATCTATATAAAGTACCTGACATCTAGCAAATGATTAGCAAATACTGAGCCTTTGCTTCTAGTCCTCTCTAAAATTTAAAAAAAAATGAATTATAAATATTACTCAAATCTAAATATATGTGAAACAGTATGAGAATCGGATTCTGTCCCAGTTCTACCACTACCTAGTTATATGAACTTAGCTAGGGTGTAGGGTGGAGTGAAGCAAGTCACTCTACCTAAGGCTACTTCTGTATCTAAGCAGAGAAGCTTCCCTCTGTAACTAAAACTCTATGTTACACATAACAACTTGACTACAATTTGAAACACAAATGTTACAAAAGTTAATCACACTTTCTCACTGTAATAATCCTAAATGAATGATACTGAAATTTCCTTCAAGAGAATTATGGTATGAAATTTCAGTATCATTCTTTCATTTACTTTCATTCTTTCACTCTTTGGCAACTATCCTCTGAATTTGAAAAATTTACCTGCACAACGTATCTGTAGACTACTTTTATCATCTTATTTCCCTACCAGTAATGCCTCATCTTCCAACTAGACTGTAGAATTGTATATTTCTTTTTGTCCCCCATACTGTTCATTATTTTACTCACTAAATCACATAACCACTAAAACACCTAAAATCATCATACCCTAAATCCTGTAGAGATGTGACAAGACATACATAGTTATCAATAAGTTGTATCTAATAACAACAATTTTTAACGCAGCACAAAACTGAAATGTACTGCCAGTGATTTCAAGGTAACACAGAAATACCTGCATATTCAAACAATAAACAACATCCGTATTCAGTATTTTTGGTTTAAAATTAAGGTAATGGTAGCCAAAAAGCAACATCTATTGTGGAGAAATTTGACTCATTTAACAAAAGACAACTTAGCTTGCTGGGCCTGAAGGAAGAACTCATAAGTATTTGTCCTATCTCCCAGCCTGTCCCTCACTACTAGTATTCTATTATCTCGTATTACATGAAAATAAGTAATACACATGGTACTGTTACTTTGATGCCCTGAGGAAAGCTCAACTTGCTGTATTCATGCCATTTTATAGTCCCCTCCCATATTTAATGCACACTGGGTTATGTGACCAGCACTCACCATTGGAACATTAGCAAGGATGAGGAACACAGAAGCTTGATAAATACCGGCACACTAGGGCTTGGAAAGGTCTTTCACGGAACTGCCATAGCTGCCATGCTATGAAGAAGGCCAAGCTGGCTGGGCACAGTGGCTCATGCCTGTAATCGCAGCACTTTGGGAGGCCAAGGTGGCAGATCACGAGGTCAGGAGTTCGAGACCAGCCTGGCCAACATGGTGAAACCCCATCTCCATGAAAAATACAAAAATTAGCTGGACGTGGTGGCACGCACCTGTAATGCCAGCTACTTGGGAGGCTGAGACAGGAGAAATGCTTGAACCCGGAAGGCGGAGGTTGCAGTGAGCCATACCACTGCACTCCAGCCTGGGCGACAGGGCAAGACTCCATCTCAGGGGGGAAAAAAAAAAAGAAGGCCAACCTTCTTCAAGTGGAGAGACGACATGGGTAGGAAGAGAGAGGGAAATGCCCAGCCATCTACCAGCTGCTCCAGCCATCCCAGTTGAGGCACTAGATTTATGAGTTAAGAAGCCACAGTGGACATTATAGCCAACAGATCACATGTGGAGAAGTCACCATAAAGCCATACACAAATTTTAGAATCAAGGGCAAATACACAATTGTTTTAGCCACTATGTTTTGGAGTGCTTTATTATGCAGCAATAGATAACCAAAACAATACAAATAAACCAATTAGAACTGTTCCTGTTTGGCAGTAAGCAACAACAACAAAAAATGTCAGTGGTAACCATTGTTATAGTTAATAATCACTATAAAAAATCTTCTTCCCAAAAGGTACTTTTCTGGGTATTTAAGTGTTCTTAAAGGGACTCTGTTCATTTCACCAATGGCCAGTAAAGAGAGAGAAGTAAAGCAACCAGAAAGTCTACTCTTCGTTTTTCCTTTTCCCTTCCTAATTTATGGCTGTCCTTTTTAGCTTTGCCAGTAATGTTTGCCTGTTTTCCCCAGAGTGGCTAATCAATGATCCATACCGATTCTAGCATTCAACTGTGCTCTGTACCTCAGTCACTACAGACATCACCGTCAACTTCCCTCCAGACCACAGGTAACTAAAAGTTCTGTAGACCAGACTCTTCACTAAGGGTGAAAAGTTTAAACTCATCTAATTCATAATTATGTTTTCCTGATAGAATCATTAAGCGAAGAGCATCAGAACCAATAACCTCTTGCTCAGAAAATAAATTAAGTAGCAGGAAAAACATACCTGCTATTTTTCCTCAAAGAATTTACTGATCCTAATTACACAAATTTCTTTTTCTTTTAACCCTCATGACCTTTGCTCATACTTCACTCGTGATATTTATCTTAACCTAGCCTGAATCACAGTAATTGGTTTACTTAATTTCCTACTAGATCTAATACTCCCTTTTCTCCCATTGAGAAAAGGGGCATTTTACTCTTGCAACCCTTGAAGCACCTACTATATTTCTCTGCTACTTATACAAATACAGTAAAAAATATGAGTTCTGGTCATCAATCATTGTCCGTAACTAATCTTAGCAAGTCTCACCCCCATTTTTATTAAGAAACAATGGCTCACCCATATGTATAATGCAATCAGTGACAAAGTTAATGAATGCTACATGTTCTAACATTAACCTTCACCAATTATTTGACTTAATAAGAATGATTTTATTTTTGTAGAGACAGTAAAATGATTTTTTTAAAAAAGAAAGGTACTATTTACATTCCTTATTTTCTTTTCCTTAAAGTTTCAGACTTGAGAAGTCTGAATATTAGGTTCAGCATAAGATCCAGGCCAGATGCCAGGCAAATACTGCAATAGCAAAGGCAAAGCAGACCTGGTGGAGACTGCAAATGGAGACCTCAGTACCCACCTAAAAGGGTCAACCGCTACTCAGCTCTGGCAATCTAGTCTCAAGCAGGAATGGCCACCAGGTATAGCCAAGTCCTGTGGGTTTTCTAGAGATGCTAGAAGTTGAGACTTCTTAAATATGAAATCTTCCTATTGGCCGCGAGGTGGCTCACGCCTGTAATCCCAGCACTTTGGGAGGCCAAGGCAGGCGGATCACCTGAGGTTAGGAGTTCGAGACCAGCCTGGCCAACAGAGTGAAACCCCGTCTCTACTAAAAATACAAAAATTAGCCAGGCATGGTGGTGTGTACCTGTAACCCCGGCTACTGGGGAGGCAGAGGCAGGAGAATCACCTGAATCCGGGAGGCGGAGGTTGCAGTGAGCCAAGATCACACTACTGCACACCACCCTGGGTAACAGAGCAAGACTCCATCTCAAAAAAAAAAAAAAAGAAAAAGAAAAAGAAAAGAAATCTCTATTCTTAAATGGTGACAATTATCAAATATTCCAAATACTCTAAGGGCAAGCAGTATATATCTGTGGGTTGGATTCTCACCAATGGCCACTTGCTACTGCAGACTCACAGTTAAAAATCTCTACATATAACTGATGGTGCACTACACAAACAATATACCTTTACCACCACTGCCCCTCACCCTGCAGAAGAAAAAAAATGAGAACCATGAAAAGAAACTCCAAAAAATTATGGAGTACTAGTGACAAACTTCTTTAATTTAACCTTTTCTCTCTCGAAAAAGAAATCTGTTAACAGTTTTAGATATAGAAACTTTTATAGTAGAGAAATAGAGAGGAAGAATTTTTTTTATTTTTATAATTTTCTCAAAACTTTCAAAAATATTCAAATAAATAGTACAAATTACATAAACATTTCCAGCCTCAACCAAACTAATGAAAATGCTCAGTAATAAAAATGAGACTAATGATTCACCACGTACACAGAAAAACAAGGTACAAAATACTAATTAATAGTGTTAATTTATTTGCACTGGTGTATCTACATATTGTCATTTGACTCTTTTGTGATCAATAGCACAAAACTGGGAACAAAGTTGAACTAACTTCCTGACCATGGAACACTCGAGTAACAAGCCACTTGTGGACTCAATCCTGTGACCTAAACCCCCTTAATACCATGCTATCCATAACTAAGGGGACCAGTTACTCATAGTCAGTATTTAGTCCAACATTTCTTCAATACTTTTACAAAAGATAAATATTATTTGAAAATGTCTTTAAGGCTTTTCCTTCCACTTAAAAATATGAATATCTACATTCAGGAATAGGAATTTATAGAGAACACTTGAATTTCACCTCTAAAATTGCTTAACCTACTGCTAGAAGCCCTTATAAAGTTAAAATAAAATTCTTAATATAATTAATCGTGGTAGGCTTGATTTGGAGTTCAAAACATTCTGTAAAATAGTCATTTAACAAGGGAGATTCTCTAACCAAAAGAATTAGTAGACAATTTAGTGCTAGTAAAATATTACAGTTATGGGCACAGGGGACTACGTATTTATCGAACACTTACTATGCCCAAGTACTGTGACGAATACATCAAGGTATTCATTAAATCTTAAAAAAAAAAAAACAATCATATGAGGAAGGTACCATTCCTATCCCCATTTTACGGATGGGGAAACTGACCTTTCCAAGAATACCCAGCTAGTAAGTGGCAGAGTCAGGATTCCAACCCAAATCTTGTCTAACTTCAGAATCTGCACGCTTAACCACTACACTGCATTGCCTCCAGTGACTCTGGGTTGATAACTAAGATGAAATAAGAAGGAAATTTGTACTTCTCAGTGGCAAATTTTAAAAACATATTATAAATGGAGGGTATTTTTTAGAACATGAACAAGTTTCATATACATAGTCATACAATTTTTATTTCCAAATACATGTAGTAATGGTGAAAATCCCACACAATGAATTTCTCACAATTTTTCATAAGTACTCAATCATGGTGTTTTTTTTTTTTTTAGACAGGGTTTCGTTCTTGCTGCCCAGGCTAGAGTGCAACGGCAGATCTCGGCTCACTGCAACCGCCCCCTCCCTGGTTCAAGCAATTCTGCCTCAACCTCCAGAGTAGCTGGGATTACAGGCGCCCGCCAACACGACCGGCTGATTTTTTTTTTTTAGTAGAGACGGGGTTTCACCGTGTTGGCCAAGCTAGTCTCGAACTCTGACCTCAAGTGATCCACTCGCCTTGGCCTCCCAAATTGCTGGGATTAGAGGCGTGAAGCACCACCCCCAGCCCAATCGTGTTTATTACTAAAAATTTAATGGGAACACCCTGTATTTTCCCCTCAATTTTGCTGAGAACCTAAAACTACTCTAAAAAACAGTCTATTGGGCCAGGCGCGGTGGCTCACACCTGTAATCCCAGCACTTCGGGAGGCAAGTGGATCACCTGAGGTCAGAGTTCGAGACCAGCCTGGCCAACATGGCAAAACCCTGTCTCTACTAAAAATATGAAAATTAGCCAGGCCTGGTTGCGGGCACCTGTAATCCTAGGTACTCAGGAGGCTGAGGCAGGAGAATCGCTTGAACCTGAAGGCGGGGAGGGGCGGGGCGGAGCTTGCAGTGAGCCGAAAACACGCCACTTCACTCCAGCCTGGGCGAAACAGCGAAACTCCATCTCTCAAAAAAAAAAAAAAAAAAAAAAAAAAAAAAAAGAAGTCTACTAAAAACAGTTTTTTTTAACTACAATATCCTAAATATACCTAATTTAGTTATAAACTAGCATAAGACTAGATTCTTTCAGTATGAAAAGTTGCATTGTTTTTCATAACCATTGTACCAAGCATGCTATTAGCATTTAATAAAAATTGAACTATTTTTTTCAAAAGCAGTGCTGTAATATTGTTTTTTTGTTTGTTTGTTTGTTTTGAGACGGGGTTAAGCTCTTATTGCCCAGGCTGGAGTGCAATGGCAGGATCTCGGCTCACTGCAACCTTCGCCTCCCGGGTTCAAGCGATTCTCCTGCCTCAGCCTCCTAAGAAGCTGGGATTACAGGCACCCGCCACCACGCCAGGCTAATTTCGTATTTTTAGTAGAGACGGGGTTTCTCCATCTCGGTCAGGCTGGTCTCAAACTCCGGACTTCAGGTGATCCACCCGCCTCGGCCTCCCGAAGTGCTGGGATTACAGGCGTGAGCCACCGCGCCCAGCAAAATTGGAATTAACACTCCCAGAATACTCCCAGGGACTCTGCATTACAAAGACATTAAAATATGAACCAAACTCTGACGAAAGACTTGAATCCTTTATTGAGGAATATAAAAAGTGGAATACTACATCCCGTTGGCTGGCATAAATATGACTAACTTTACTTTTCCCCTTTAAGTATCAAAAGATGTAGCCTTAAGTCAAAAATGGATTAGGGTAACAGAATCTTTTCCTAATTAGTTTCAGAACTTTCTAAATGCTCCAAAGAAGCTTATCCAAAAAAAAAAAAAAAAAAAAAAAAAAAAAAAAAAAAAGGCCGGGCACCGTGGCTTACGGCTGTAATCCCACCACTTTGGGAGGCTGAGGCCGGCGGATCACCTGAGGTCAGGAGTTCGACATCAGTTTGGCCATATGGCGAAATTTCGTCTCTATTAAAAATACAAAAATTAGCCAGACATGGTGGCATGCGCCTGTAATCCCAGCTACTAGAGAGGCTGAAGCAGGAGAATCTCTTGAACCCGGGAGGCGGAGGTTGCAGTGAGCCGAGATCACGCCACTGCACTCCAGCCTGGGCAACAAGGCGAGACTCCATCTCTGGGGTGGGGGGAAGGAAAAAAAAAAAAACCTCTGAATTGTCCAGAGTGACTGTCAACATATGAACCAAATCTTTTTTTCTTGATATTCAACAAAGTTGTCAAAATTCTTTTTTTTTTTTTTTTGAGACAGAGTCTCGCTCTGTCACCCAGGCTGGAGTGCAGCGGCACGATCTCGGCTCACTGCAACCTCCGCCTCCTGGGTTCAAGCGATTCTTCTGCCTCAGCCTCCCAAGTAGCTAGGATTATAGGCGCGTGCCACCGCGTCCGGCTTATTTTTGTATTTTTAGTAGAGACAGGGTTTCACCAGGTTGGCCAGGTTGGTCTCGAACTCCTGACCTCAGGTGATCCGCCCACCTCAGCCTCTCAAAGTGCTGGGATTACAGGTGTGAGCCACTGCGCCCGGCCGGTTGTTAAAATTCTAAGGGTCAATTAAGGGTTATATGAGAAATCTATAACAAGTTTTGCCTAATAACACTTCCCATCTCAACATTTTCATCAAGGTCCACCTTTAAGAATAAACACCTAAGTTCAATTAAGACAAGTGAGGAGGAGGTATTAACTTACATTTTAAAAAAGTCATTGTCCTGTATATTTTACAGACTGTAAAACTTAATTTTTAAATAGAATACTATACTGGCCACCAACAAAAAATGTTTAAGGGAAGCTCTATTGATTTTGTTTTGCCTCACTGTTGTACTTCCAAAGTCTCCACTATAAAAGCAGTGCGTTAATATTAAGTGGCAAGCCTATGGAAGAAGATACATTGTTGGAATATAGGCTCTTAATCACACCTATAATACACAGGATTCCTTTCCTTTCTCTCTGACCCAAGTTCTCATTAAGTGACCCAAAGACTCTTCTGCATCACTATGCTTTCTCTAATCAGAAGCTGGGCTGTGCACTGAAATAAAAACATTCTAACCAATACATTTTTCAAATTATTACTATAGTACTCGTTTAAACACCTGTATTCAAAGCTTCTCACTAATCATCTAGCTTTATCAAGTAACACACACAAGTTAATATACACTATGACTGCCTTGGTAGCCGCAGTTTGACTAAATTCTGGGACACCACCTCAACTTGGAAGGGACAGAACTATATCCGGTTCTCATTAGATACACATTTTCTCATGCTTTCCATCTTAAAGACTTTACACTTTCCCAGAGGAGCAATAAATGTAGGAAGACGCCAGGTAGTATGCCTGTAAGGAAGATAAGTGATCAGATTAAATTCCTACCCAAGAAACCTGAAACTTCAAAAACTTTTCCTAACAAACCACAGATGAAAAGGACAAAGTATGATTTACCCCTTCATTTCCACTTCTTTTCTGGAGCCAGCTTCCCAAATTCCTGAACAGCAGTCTTAACTTACTGGTTAGTTGGAGGAGCGGTCAACGGTATGGCCACCTCTTCCTCCTCGTATTCTGGTCCATCCAGAGAGTCACCTTCGTCCACTGTCCCGAGGCCCGCCCCCAAAGGGGGCAGGTAAGGGGGAGGGGGCAGAGGGGGAAAACCGCCGCCTGGCCCGAGAGTCTCAGCAAGCAACGAAGTGGGCAGTTTGGTGAGAGCCATGTCTCCACTAGGTCCAGCAACAGCAGCACCGGCCACGCCAGCAGCAGCACCAGCTACGCCAGCAGCAGTACCTCCCCCTGTCAGTCCAGCTCCCCCCAGTGCCCCTGCCACAGACCCGGCTCCTAGGAACTCTGACCCCAAAGCGGCTCCGCCACCCAGAGTTCCAGCCACTCCGGTCTCCACCAGCCCAGGATAGGGGGCGGCTGCCACAGGCAGGGCCGCGGGTATCTTCACCCGACACACTGCGGGATAGGCACTGGAGCCCGCTGCCGCGCCGCCTCCTCCAGCTCCGGCTGTTACCGGGCCGCCCTCCTCACTGCCGGCCTCGGCCGCCATCATGTTGAAGCCCGCTCTACTCTGCCCTACCCTGCCCGCCCGGGAGCCCCAGGGGCCACCAGGCCCGGGCTCCGAGCAGCCCCACCCAGACGCGTCTCCCCTTCAGCTCCCCAGGCTGAGGAAACAACAACAAAAGGAGAGAGCCCGCCGCCGCGCCCCCTCCTAGGGCCACAGCCCAGGCTCCCCAGCTGCCTGGGTTACGGGAAGCCAAGTGGGCAAAAAACCCAACGCCTGCACAAACGCCACCCAAACCTCACCGCACACACCCACACTCACGCACACAAACACATGTACAGAAGCGAAAACTTCCTCGCTGCACTAAAGAGGAAAGGAAGCACAGGGAAAGAGGCTGAGGCTGCTACCGCTCCTTCAGCCGCCACCACCGCTTCTTCACCACCCCAGTTCCGGCCACCCACACCGCAGCCACCGCCGGTGCCGCTGCTGAGGCTGGGGCCACTGCAGCCGCTTCATCCTCCACCAGGCAGATGAGAGGGGTGGGGGGGCAAGAGAAAGGGGGGCGGGGTAACGAGGAAATCGACTGAACTGCTCACTACCTGGAGCTCTCAGTGAGTGAAACGGGAGAGAGAGAAAGGAAGGCGGGGCAGGGGAGGAGGGACGGAGGGAAGGAAGGGCGGAGAAGGGAGAGGGCAGCTTGTGCGCAGGCGCGTTCCCGGAGCGGGGGCGGGGGGCCGGGCCGGGAGGAAAAGGAAGAGTCCAGAGGGAAGGAAGCGGCGGGGACGCGCGGTGCGTGGTCGCGCTTGCTGTCCTCCTCCGGTTCCAAGCGTGTGGCGGCGCGGCCGCATCTCCTGTTGGCGTGGCCGGCGGCGCGCGCCTGTCTCCCGGGGCTTTGTTTGATGGGCGGGAGAAGAGGGAAGGGTACCTGAGCACGCGGGTGCTTGGCGCTGTTAAAGCCGGAGAGACCAGAGGGGGACCAGGAGGCGGTGGAGAGGAAGGAGGGGGAAAGGGAAAGGAAAATGCCCAGAAACTAGTTCCGTACTTCCTGACCAGTGGAAAAAACAGCCTTAACCAGCAGCGCAGAAACCGGGCAGGGGTCAGGTAGCTTTGAAGATCGGGGCAGTACTATTAATGTTTTCTTTTTCGTTGCATGCTATAAATCACTATGACTATCTCACACACACACAGTTAAAATAGATTCTGAAACTCCAAAACGAAATAAAGGGCACCATATGAGAAGGGTGAAGAATTTGAGTAGAAATAGTGGTTATGAAGTAAGATTTCTACCAGTATTTGCATACGTTTTTCTTTATCAACTGTCTCATATACTTACCTATGCCATTATAAGTCTGTTGGATACTGATGAAGAGGAGGAGGTGCCACAGAAAACACTAATCAATGCACTTTTGTCCTGGTTTGTGTGCAAAAGACTGCAGGACGTGATCCACAATGCAAGCACCTTCAACAAGTCAAATGTCAAGAATGTCCCAGAATGCTAGTTATAATTATATATCGTTTCAAAAGTAGCAATAAACTGAAAACTCATTTTTAATACAATTAAGGAGAAGGGTGTTATTTTGTCTTTTACACTAAAATGTATACAAACTATGCATTCATGTAGAGGGAGCTTCCCATGGTTTGAAATTAACAATATTGTTAAATTCTCCCAGGAGTGATCCCACATTAAATACCATTGGATATTGATCTTTGAGATCAATATTTTCTGTGCTAAGGATGATCAAACTAACACTCAGGATGGCAAGTGGCTGTGATAGAAACCCAGGAAAAAGAGAAAAGACCACTAAAAGACGTGACAAGATACAGGCAATGCATTGCCTTTGTAAGTTTGCACAGGCCTATTTACCTAGTCAATGACAACAATCCAACTTGATTAGGAGTAGTCCTGGGGCCTCCATTACGCATATCTCTTAGCAGTGTGCTACCTGGGAGAAGGAAGATGGACCAGTCACAGGAGCTAGAGTTCTCAAAGTGAATTCAGGCCGCAACATCCTAGGAATTCAGAAATGCCACCTCAGACCTTCTGAATCAGAAAATATGCAGCGATCCATTTTAACAAACCCTCCAAGTGATTGTTTGCACACTTAAGTTTGAGAACCACTATATTAATGTATAGTATACTAATCAAGAAGGAGGTATGCAATACCTAAAAACGGTTCTGAAAGAAATAATAAATGTCATTCATTAGGTGGGTAGGTAAAATAGGCGGGTTTTGAGTTGCCAAGCTCTGTGCTGTTCTAGAAATGAGAATGAAGTAGTTCCATAATACTTAATAATGAAGTACTACTTATGGTGGCCTCCCTGAGAACAGTTTTCTTTTAAACTTAGACCCTCAGTTAGACAAGACTATCAAAATACCTACTCTACTTACTGTCTGCTGTGTGAACACCAAGTGCAACAATCCCAACAAATCTTAATATAGCCTGTGCTTGAAAACCTCCAGTGTGTTAGCATCCCAATCCTCCAACATTCCTGTCCCAGTCACCACTGTCAGCCCTTGAATGCAGGACATTGAACTGGCAGGTTATCACCGGCTCTTGGTTATCACTGATTTCTAAATGTTCACACACCCTCTGTATGTTGCCTGGGAGTCCAGGTGAGGCTCACTACTCTTACTGCAGAATTACCTCCTCCTTTTTGACAATTCTTTAGCACTTGTAAAGGTCAATATTTAATGCAGTCTAACACCTATCAAATGCTCAATTAAATGTTTTCTAGACTTTTAGGTGTATGTACCTACAAAACTGTACTGCAAATACAACCTGTGGTCTATTCTACTGCCTAGCCCAGTCCTAGGCAACCTCAGTATGCTACTTTGAACAGATCTTCATCCTTTTAACAAATACCAAATTTGATCAGCTCCCATCTTTGGAAATCAATTTCTTAACCAGTAGGAAATAACTACTATGTCTATTTGTAAATCAGCCTTATACCAATATCTTACCTAGTTTTTGTTTAGCCTTAGAGTTAGCCCTGTTCTTTTCCTCCAAAGAAATTGCCACATATTTTTATGAGGTATTTTCAGATATTTAATATATTCCTATTATTGGATAGATCTAGGCTCTAATCTTTACTATTGCTTGTGTACTTTCTGAATCTCAAATACGTTGTCTATCTTTATTTTCATTTTTTCCAAAAGGATTTAATGTTTCTACTTAATTTTTGTCCATTGCCTTTCTTTTCTACCCACCTTAACTTTCTGCCCAGTTAACAAAGGGAAGTAAACTATCTTAATTAAATTCACAGATATTAAACAGGGAGGTATTGAAAAACAGAATAGTACACAAAAGAAAGAAAATTCAAAATATATTTTACCTTTAGTAAAATAAGCTATTATATCTGTGATTTTAGAAAAGTTACTCTGGATCTTGAAACATAGTATTTAATGAAGACTAAATAATAAAAAGTGCTGGACAAAAACTTGTGTATGAAAAGAAACTGAAAATTTAAGAAATGAAGTTGGCTCATTCTGGTTTCATTGGCAACTGAAATATGAATGTGGCCGGGTGCGGTGGCTCACGCCTGTAATCCTAGCACTTTGGAAGGCCGAGGCGGGCAGATCACAAGGTCAGGAGATCGAGACAATCCTGGCTAACACTCCAGCCTGGGTGACAGAGCAAGACTCTGTCTCAAAAAAAAAAAAAAGAAAAAGAAATATGAATGTACTACGTTCCAAAATATTTTATAGTTTTGATATCTTGAGTATGTGGAAAGGTAATTCTAACTCAGTAACATAACTGTAATTTTAGAGGACCTTAGAGCATAGGTAAGAATAGTTTCTGATGGGAGGACTAACCAAGAAGTAATAAAGAGCTTACTGCTGTGTTTGAAGAATGCCAAATTGTGTTCCATGCCCTAGTACATATTGAGTTACACAAATAGCCTTCCAAATTTACCTAAATAGTATCAAAAGGTTTCATTGACCCAATAATTTTGAAAGAAAGCCTTTACTTCTAACCCTAATGTCCCCACTGCATTTATTGACTTTATCTTAAAACCCTCCAGAGCACAAATTTTTTTATTACAAAGATCTTATGAGAAAATAACATCGAGGAGATACAGGTTAAAGGAAATACTTTGATGAAAAGGCAAATAACTCTGCAGAGATTACAATATGTGGTATAATAACTAAGATTTATGAAAATTATAAATACCATAGAGAAATTGAAGAACTGTGTGATGATCTCTGAGGCTGTAAAATAAATTACAAGGTAAATTATCCAGAGCTCTCTCAAAACATTCAAACCAATATATGAGTAAAGAAGATTAGAACAGTTAGATCTAAATATCTCTTAAAATATAAAATAATAGAAAAATATATTTTTTTTTTTTACTTTATTCCTATTTTGTCTTTATATTGCAGATACTTCATTATTTTTTGTCAGAACCTTTCCTCCTTCATGATTTCTAGTCTCTTTTTCTTTACCTATTATTTTACTCTGACCAGGCACATTTATGTATTTTCCTTTCTTTGCCTGGCTCCTATATATGATAGTACCTCATGGTAGAAGTAAAGGAGAAAAGGGAACGGAATGGTTTCAAGGCAAAGAATGTGGGAGAGTCGGGTGGGTAGGACTTTGCCATATTTCCCTCATTATTACACTCCCATTTTTCACAGATAATATTTTTTGAATATGCCAGCAACAATTTAAATAGCACCTGAAGCACAGTCATGAAATCCAACTAAGCTTTGGTCTTTTCACCTCAAGAATCCTGCAGTCTCTAATTCAAGTTACATTCTTTGGTCTACCTGAGAGTCTTCCAGGAATGCTTTCACTTGCAAATTCAGTTAGTATGGCAATACACACCGCTCTTTAAAGTAACTATACAATGAAAGGGCTAAGTGGAGCCTTGAGTCAGATAATTATCATAAATAAGGTGAGAGCTTTAACTACTGCAAATGCACTGTAAGTAGTGTAACTTTACTCAACTAAAAACAGCTTTCTATTTCTAACTATAATTATTTCTCAATCCGCGTGCTCTTTTGAAGACTTTTCAACTTCACTTGTTATCTTACTAGAACTCTTATTTTTCAACTTCCTATTCACTGTTTATCGAATAGTTTTTAAAAAGCAATGAAATATGACATGTAAATATAATGGTATGTATCAGTGATGTTCAGACTTCTGGGTTTCATAGACTACTAAAGTTTCCACAAAAATTGAGAGACTACAGAATTGCCAATTATGAGTTTGCCAATGTTGTGAAGAGAGAAGTATTTTGTTATTACAACAAAACTGCCATTTCCTGCTGCTTTATTTCATAAAAGGAAAGGACATTTCAAAGCAGGGAGAAAGAGGGAAGGAGGAAAGAGAAAGGATGGAAATAATTTTAGAAAAAAAAGGAAAAGTCCTTAGAATTACATAAATTTAGCTTCATGAAATATTCATCATATATTATGTTCTTATTTTATCTTTTTCCATGGATGCATTAAAAATTGGCATTGAAGGCCAGGCATGGTGGCTCAAGACTATAATCCCAGTACTTTGGGAGGCCAAGGCAGGAGGATCACTTGAGCCCTGGAGTTCCAGACCAGCATGGGCAACATAGTGAGACCCTGTCTCTATGAGAAATAGAAAAAATTAGCCAGGTGTGGTGGTACATGCCTGTAGTCCCAGCTAATTGGGAGGCTTAGGTGGGCAGATAGCTTGAGCTCCAGAGGTTGAGGGTGCAGTGAGCTGTGATTGTGCCACTGCACACCAGCCTGGGTGACAGCAAGACTCTGTCTCAAAAACAACAACAACAAAACAACAACAACAAAAAAGAAAAACAAATAGCATTAGTTTGACAAAATATCTTAGTTTGGATTTCCCCAGAAGCAGACTTTGAGACTAGTACTTGAGTGTTAAATTTTTTACTTAGGAAGTGATTCCAGAATACTTCAGTTCAAGAGCAAGAAAGGGGAGGGGGCCAATACAGGGAATGCTAAAATGAGCAGGTTGCTGCTGTGGATAAGTAGGGCACTCCATTCATGTGAAACTCTGGGACACAGCACAGAATCCACCTGAGAGTTGTTACGCCTAAGGGTCAAAGAAAATGTGTTTTATCCATCAGTTCTCATTTGGCATTGGTTGAGGGCTGCTCCTGGAAGCATCTCCTCTGCAACACTTCCAGACTGCCTTGTGTGCAATTTGAACATCTTCATGGCTAGAGAAAGCCCTCAGGTAGAGAGCCACTGGTGCATGCAGTAAGAAACCATTGGCATGCACAGAACAGGTGACTCCAAGGGGGTGTGGACTTGACACTGACAGTAGCTATTGTACCAGGATTTCAGAACCCCTGGATTGAAGAACTTATTTCTGTTAAGTACAGATGCTTCTTGACTTAGATGGAGTTACGTCCTGACAAAACCCCATTGTAAATCAAGGAGCATACTGAATGCCCATCACTTTCATACCATCATAACGTACAAAAATCATTAAGTGGAACCATTGTAAGTTGGAAACTGTCTAGGTACTTTGGAATGTCATTGTATTTCAGCCATTTTATATTTATCTTACTCTATAAAGCCCTAGTGTGCTAAGACTATTTAGCACACATGGTTAAGAAGCTTATTCAGCTTGGGTGTCGTGGCTCATGCCTATAATCCCAGCACTTTGGGAGGCTGAGGCAGGAGAATCCCTTGAGCCCAGGAGTTTGAGACAAACCTAGGCAACACAGGGAGACCCCATCTCTACAAATATTATTATTATTTTTGAGACAGAGTCTCACTCTGTCACCCAGGCTGGAGTGTAGTGGCACGACCGCGGCTCACTGCAGCCTTTGCCTCCTGGGTTCAAGCAATTCTCCTGCCTCAGCCTCCCAAGTATCTGGGATTACAGGCACCTGCCATCGTGCCTGGCTGATTTTTGTATTTTTTTAGAGATGGGGTTTTACCATGTTGGCAGGCTGGTCTTGAACTCCTGACCTCAGGCGATCTGCCCGCCTCAGCCTCCCAGAGTGCTGGGATTACAGGTGTGAGCCACCACACCCAACCTACAAATTTTTTTTTTTTAATTAGCGAGGTTACAGTGGCTTCTGCCTGTAGTCCCAGCTACTGAGGAGGCTGAGGTGAGAGAATCGCTTGAGGCCAGGAAGGTCAAGGTTGCAGTGAGCCATGATCATGCCACTGCACTTCTAGCCTAGGTGACAGAGCAAGACCATATCTTTAAAAAAAAAAAAAATCAGTGTTAATGGTGTGACTGAGACAGGAGCTCCTAATTTCTCAGTGATGCATTTTGTCTCTAGATCAGGGCCTGCCAGAAGTGGTTTTCTAAGACTGTTTAATTATTGCTTGCTTCCAAACATATTCCATGTCTCTTCTTTTTATTTAACATGTTTTTTGAGCTAGAAAATAGAAGCATGGTCCAAAGGTCATGACTTAGTAGAAAATTTTAAAGTTTTCAAAGTGCTTCTTTGTACATTGACTCTTTTACAACTCCAGGAAGTATGACAGTATTATTATCTTCAACTGACAGATCTGAAAGGCTTTTAAGTTCCAAAGGTGTGGCCAGTTCACCTCAAGTGACGAAGGTTTATTATAAGGATTCCTGGGGGAGTAAGGCAGGACAAGAAAACTGTTCCACAACAAAATGTCTAGTGTCATAGGGAACCATAATAGTATTTATTGTTCAGGATTCAGAAGCTGCTGCAGAGAATGAACAGGCGTGCCTGTGTCATGTCTGAAAAATAAGGACCATGTTATTATCTCCTTCGGGTGCTGCACCATTCCCATGACTCAGGTGCTCTGACACTGCTTCATTCACTGCTCCCCCAACACAGTCACTGCTTCTACTGCTTCTGAATCTGTCCCCAATACCAGCCATCCCTCTCTCCACACCTCTCTAGCTCATGATTTTTGCTTACTCGTGGCTCCCACTACTTCTCTGCTTCCACTTACAAATATTTTTGAAGTGCCAGGGAAACAATAGTATGCCAAAATAGGTACAGTCTTTGCTCTCATGGGGCATACAGTTTAGAGAGAAGAGAGGCAGACATTTAATCAAGTAACCACATAAATAAATGCAGCATTTAACACTAAGATTGATTATGTTAAGGAAAGAAAAACTAAACTAACTTGAAATCTTTATGGATTTTGTTGTCACTTGACAGTTTTTGTTGGGAGTTCACAGAGTGTTACAGTATAATAATATAGACATAGTAAGTTAGCCCCAAACCTAGAATCCTGCCAGAGATAGACTGTTTGATTGGCACCTCTGCCGCTACTAGCTCCATAACTTGGCCAAGTTAATTAACTTCTCTGAGTCTCAGTTCCCACATTTGTTATATGCATGGAAAGCAACACCTATTGGCTTAGGTTGCTTGAATCAACTAGAAAAGTGTGTTAAGAATTTTTGGTTTGAAAATCAAACAAATATAGTAGGTTAAAAAATACAGCAACATATTATTTTTCTAGTCACCTAAAAATGTATGACTTATGCACATAGCCTGACTGGTTTACAATTGTACTTTCCTCAAGTAAAATAATCAGTCTTTTAAGACTTGGTATTAATCAAAGCATGAGATTATTTTGGCCTGAGGTTTCTTAAATGAATTATGTATTGATGTTCTTATTTCCTGAGCCTTCCAATAGAGGTCATGTATGATATGCTGCTTATATAATCCTGGTTCTTAGACAATATAAGCCTGTTTAGCTCTTTTGTTCCACAAAACCAATCATCATAGCATCACAGGAATAAATTCATCTAATTAAATAATTATTGAAAGAGTAAGTGGTTATACTTATTATTTCTTTCCTTTTTTTTTTTTTCTTTCGAGACGGAGTTTCATTCTCATTGCCCAGGCTGGAGTGCAAGGGCACAATCTCGGCTCACTGCAAACTCCGCCCCCCAGGTTCAAGCGATTCTCCTGCCTCAGCCTCCCGAGTAGCTGGGATAGCAGGTGTGCACCACCATGCCCGGCTAATTTTTTATTTTTAGTAGAGATGGGGTTTCTCCATGTTGGTCAGGCTGGTCTTGAACTCCCGACCTCAGGTGATCCACCCGCCTCGGTCTCCCAAAGTATTGGGATTACAGGCGTGACCCACCGCGCCCAGCCTATACTTGTTATTTCTTTATATTTTGCAGCTATAAAGTCTTTATATCATTGATTCATTTGATATAAATAAAGATATAAGTAAAAGTTTTATTAAAGGAATAAAACTCGATTCATTTTCATCTGAAACAATTTTCTATCCCTTATGGCAAATATTTTTATTTTTAAATTATATTTTTCTTTTTTAATAAGTTAATATATATTAACATTTTCTTTCATTTTACATGGACTACACAAACATGTTTTCTATAACTGTTTAATATGAATTCATTATTTCATAACAACAGTACGTATAATTTTTTGTCATATTCTATAGTAGCAAATATTTTATATATTATATTTTCTGATTGTTTTGATATATTAGCATTCATTTTTACTGAAGTAATTAAAACATTGAAAGATAAAATCAGGCAATGCACTTATAAGAGTAGTCCCAGCTACTCAGGAGGTTGAGGCAGGAGAATCGCTTGAATCCAGGATGCAGAGGTTGCAGTGAGCTGAGATGGTGCCACTGCACTCCAGCCTGGCAACAGAGTGAGACTTTGCCTCAAAAAAAAAAAAAAAAAAAAAAAAAAGAATTCTACAGGGAAATAACACAGTGATTATAGAAGATTCTGTTAGTTGCTTATCCAGAATCCTCTTCCCATCTCCTTTCTTGCTAACTGAACTTTTCCCAGCTAACCTTGCAACTAAACGGCCATGTGATCCAGTTGGGTTCCTTCATGGCTTCTAGACTTGTGTCATAGTTAAAAACACCTCTATTACAAGACTATTTTTAGAAACTCTCTCAAGTTATCTTCTGGTGCTTTTTTGGTTTCAATTTTCATGTTGCTTAAATATTTGATTCACCTGGAATTTATTTTGGTGTATAGTTATCTATCTTTTTCCCCCTTTATATAACTTTATCCTTTCATGCACTTAGTTATTATCTTTGCTTTTTCTCCCATTACCCAGTTATTCAACTTTAAACAAATTTTTCACTCTCAGCAGTGAGATATTATTAAAAGGAGGAAATAACATTAGGACTTTCATATTTTAATTATCTCTAGCATTCAGGAAAAGCTTTTGTTAGATTTAAAAGTTTGGGTAATGACAGATCAAGAACAACCTGCTTGAAATTACTCTCTCTTTCTCCACCCCATACAAACATCCACTTTGGAGTGAAAATACCAAGGTGGAAAAGAGAAAACTCCACAAATATGTGAGAAATATAATGATCTATCCAAAATTTGATTAAAATCTTTTTTTCTCGTCAAAGAAATTTCTAGCTCCACAACTTTTGAAAAGTTAAATGCAGGCCTTCTGTAGTTAAACTTTACAAAATATATATATTAAATTTATATATATATAATATAATATATACATATATAAATATATTATATATTATATTATATATACATATATAATATATTATATATTATATACAATATATAAATATATTATATATTATATATACATATATAAATATATTATATATTATATATACATATATAATATATTATATATGTATATATAATATATAAATATATTATATATTATAATATATAATATATAATATATAATATTATATAATATATATATATAATATTATATTATATATATAATATATAATATTATATATATAATATATAATATATTATATATTATATATACGTATATAAACATATTATATATTATATATACGTATATAAACATATTATATATTATATATACGTATATAAACATATTATATATTATATATTTCATATATACATATATAAATATATTATATATTTATAGTATTATATATTTATATATATATATATATTTTTTTTTTTTTTTGAGATGGAGCCTTGCTCTGTTGCCCAGACTGGAGTGCAGTGGTGCGATCTCAGCTCACTACAACCTCCACCTCCCAGGTTCAAGCGATTCTCCTGCCTCAGCCTCCCGAGTAGCTGGGATTATAGGTGCCCACCACCATGCCTGGCTAATTTTTGTATTTTTAGTAGAGGTGGGCTTTTGTCACGTCGGCCAGGCTGGTCTCAAATTCCTGACCTCAGGTGCCACCCGCCTCAGCCTCCCAAGATGCTGGGATTACAGGCGTGAGCTGCTGTGCCCTTCCTAAACATTATATTATTTAAAGAAGGAAGGAATCACTTCTCTGGAGGAGATACACTTCATTAATCTCCTTTTCCTCTGAGTAGATGATGATTTTTTTTATCCGCAGACATAGAACACAACTACTTAAAGGTATGATCCAAGTTAGGAACATGGGGTTACAAGAAGATCTGCTTAAAATAATATGTATCCTTATCAAATACATTTGAGAAGAGATAATTTATTATAAAACTGACAAAATATTGATACTTGTTAAAGCTAGGTGATGGTACACACAGTATTCATTCTACCTTTTCTGTATGTTTGAAAAAATCCCATAATAAAAAGAGAAATGCTTTAAAATTTTGTTGGTCATTTATACCTGACTTTGTGTAAAGATCCTTAGACAAATCAGAGAAAAGTTTCCAGCGGGAGGTGAAGAGGACTCGCCTCAGAAAGATGCATTCAAATCAACCAACAACTGGTAAAAAAAGTTACCAATTCTCAAGTATTTGGAAATAACTCATGTCCAGCCGAAAAGAAGGAAAAGCATGAAGGATAGTACAAACTGGATCTGAAGACATCTACAAAATATTCCAGAAAACAGAATGCCTTTCCGTTAGAAGTCGAATCACAACACTCTATTAGTGTGGATGACTAGTTGTTACGAGTCAATATTACATCCCAAATTTTGGGACATTATGTCATAGTATCTTAGGTATTTATTATTTTTGTTAACAAAGAGTCTTTCTCTGCACTATAGTTTTGAGCTGTTAAAGCAAATTTAGCTTTTAAAAACAGTATGGCATTTAGATTAGTAAGGACCAAAATAAATAAACAAACCTGATTGCCATTTCAACTCTAAGATTCACATATTCCTTATTTGAAGTGAACTAAGACTGAAAAAGCTTGATGTTCATTAAAGCCGTATTTGTATTCAATTCTCACTCAGATTTTTCCAATCATATAGCTTTATTTTCACCAGGATTCACTTCTACAAAAGTATAATTAAATGAACAAGAGGAAAGGTTTCTGAGAACGTGATGTGCTTTGTTCCCAACCAGATCCTTCTTGTTGGTAATTCAAGCCAAAAGTTATATCATGTTTATTCTTATCCCATTCTTCTACAAAAAAAAAAAAAAAATCAAAACTTGTTTTCCAGCACTTTGCAAAGATGTAAATGAAAGAAACTGAATAAGACTGGCTTGCTTTATATAATAAAGAGAGGGCAACGAAGGAAGAAATAGAAGAAAAAACAAGCTAAAGGTGGAGAGCAGCGTTGTGTCTTTTTATTGTTGTTTTATTTTGGTAGGCAGGAGAGAAAAGAAACCCTGGTAAAAAGAAGATTATAAAGATTATTTTTACAAAGTTCTGAAGGGTAATTAGAATATATATGATTAGGTTTTACAGTCATATTTGTATTTATTTGGGATGTGTTTCTAAATTGACACTGATCTGAGGTTGAAATAAAGTAAGCCCAGTTTTATTCAAGTTTTAGTTCTATATAAACTTTACATAAGTTAACCTAAAGTGTGTGTATTAATGCTGTTCCTTAAGGTCACCATTATAAAGATGTTATTTTATTAATGACTCAAATATTAAGGTTAAATGGAATGATTGGCAGGAGACATATATTAAATTCCCTCATTGCTCATTATTTTTTTCACTAAATTCAAGACAAAGTATAATAAAAAGATCATAGGCATTGTTTTTACCTAGAACAGCTTGTGTTTCAGATCTAGCATGCAGAGTGGGGTGATTTTAGGCAAATAAAACTTAATGAACTTTTATTTCTATCTATGTAATTTTAATGACTTTTTTTTAGTTCTAGAAATTCTATTTGGTATTTTCTCAATATTCCCTGGTATCATTTGAAAATATAATGTTCTTTTTTCCATTTTTTATTTCATATCTTGAATCATTTGAAACATACTCACTTCATAGTTAATATCTAATAATTCTATTTTCTAAAGTTTTTTGGGGGGTCTAAACATGTTGTTTGTTGTATTTATTGACCTTACCTCACAACAGACTATTTCACATGTTTTGTAACTTTGGATTGTGAGTACATTTTAACCACAGTGTTATCTGTTTGAATCCTGCATGGTGTGTCCTTCTAGAATAGTTTATACTTCCACATCTAAGCAAGACGAAAAAACAGGGACTGGATTTACCCTTCTGCCTGAAACAACAAAAAATCTGGACAGAATATATGAAACAACTGTTTTTAAAGACAGCCAACATTGAGCAAAAAAGACAATGATTCCTAAGAGATAGGAACATAAAGAGAGCTCCAAGGAGAGATGGGAAACAAATGAGGATTTCCAAGAAAAGGGTGCATAGAAAGAGACTGCCAGGTTTTCTGAAGTGAGGAGATGGAAGTGGAAATATGGAAAGGCCAAGGAGACCAGAGTTTATAGATCAGAGTATTAAGAAGGAGAAAGCTATGTAAAAAGAGAATTCAAGAGATCTGTGGAAGGTCCCCCTGAAGTCAACACCCTAATGACAAGGCACACATTAACAGATTGGACAAAAAAGCAAAATCCAACTATATTCTATCTACAAAAAAACCTACTTTAAATAAGGCATAATTAAAAAAGAAAAGGATAGGAAAAGATATACCCTGCCAATACTAATCAAAATAAGGATGAAAAATGAATTTCAAAGCAAAAATATTACCAGGGCAAAAGAGGGTCACTTCTTAGAGTGATTTGGTATTTGCTTCTACAAGGCTCCCCGTGAGTATTATTAGCTTTCATATTCATGGACACAGAGAGGAGAGTAAGCCTAAGAATAAGAGGTAGAGACTTGGCACTGAGACTGGAATTTCTTGGCTTAAAGGTCTTCAGGCCCTATAGAGAGTGTAAATTCTAATCTCAAATCTGAATGCTGCTCTGAGGTAAATTCTAAGAGGAGACTGTTTTCGGACCCAGAATGTAGTAAGATGACAAACTTTCCTGCCCCCTGGTGTCATTTTTTTTTTTTCTTACTTCACAACTTTCACTGGATTCTAGTGAGTCCATCTTTTTGTAGAGGGCCTCAGTTCTAAGCCTCTACCTTGCCTCATCCGAGCTTTACCTCCCTGTATATCTATGTGAATGAAAACACATCCTTTGCCCTACCCTAAGACAAGTCCAGCACCAATTCACATTTTGAGATCTAGTTTTTAGTTTTGTCTTCACGTTTGACCTCTGGGGATTTCCTTACTCTCTTGCAAGCTCAGCTATGCATTTAAAAGTAGGTTTGTTATTTTTATCCAGCAATTTTTTGTTGTTTCATTGGAAGTTTTTCAGATATAGATTGCACTTTGCTGGTAATGGAAGTCTGTGTTTCTCTAAGTGAAGTAGGAGTAAAAGTGGCTACAGTAACATGAGGGTAAGGTTTGGAGATAATATTCACAAAATACTGAGCAGAGTGCCTGGGCCAAAGTTAATGCTCAGTACGGATAGTTATTATGGGGTGACTACAGTGTCAAAGGCATAGTGCTTTGGAGGTACAAAACAGGAGAGAATGCACTTTGGAGAAAACAAAAATACACCGGATGGAGGGCTTGTTATTTTTGTAGACTTTCTGTAGAACTTTCGTCAAGACATCTTTTTTTAAAAACTTGCTATTTTGGGTATTAAGTAATAGCAAATGTAAATTTTTTACGAGTTACTTTTCACTTTCAAAATAAAATTTGTATAGAAAATGGTTTAACTACATGATAATGACTTGTCTACAGGGATTAGTTATTAGACAGGAAAATGATTCTGAAAGAAGGAAAATTCATTTATGTATGTTAAAGTCAGGGTTGTGGGTACTGAGACACAAAATAAACAGTTTTGCTCCTAAAAGAGCTGGGGATCTGGTCAAGATATTATTCGACACATACGTACTTACAAAAAAAATCAACTGCCTATATTATCAGATAATATGTGTTTTTTTTTTTTTTTAAAAAAGGTTACAAATAACAAGTACTGTGAAAGGTCAGAAATGGAAATGCATCCTGGGTTGAAATAGGAAAGACTTCACAGACGATATGAGATGATACTGATCCTCCATAGCTGAGTAGTAATTAGGTAGTGGGGAGAAACGTAGCCAAAAGAAGAGACGTAAAAAAGATAGGCACAGGGCTGGACACGGTGGCTCACACCTGTAATCCCAGCACTTTGGGAGGTCGAGGCGGGCAGATCATGAGGTCAGGAGTTCGAGATCAGCCTGGCCAACATGGTGGAACCCCGTCTCTACTAAAAATACAAAAAAATTAGCCAGGCGTAGTGGCGCGTGCCTGTGATCCCAGCTACTGAAGAGGCTGAGGCAGGAGAATCGCTTGAACCCCGGAGGTGGAGGTTGCAGTGAGCCAAGATCGCGCCACTGTACTCCAGCCTGGGCGGAAGACTCCACCTCAAAAAAAAAAAAAAAAAAAAGAGGCCAGGCGCGGTGGCTCACATCTGCAATTCCAGCACTTTGGGAGGCCAAGGCAGGCGGATCGCGGATCACAAGGTCACGAAATCGAGACCAACCTGGCTAACACGGTGAAACCCAGTCTCTACTAAAAATAGAAAAAATGAGCCGGGTGTGGTGGCCCGCGCATGTAGTCTCAGCTACTCAGGAGGCTGAGACAAGAAAATCGCTTGAACCTGGGAGGCGCACGTTGCAGTGAGCCGAGATCGCACCACTGCACTACAGCCTGGGCGACAGAGTGAGATTCCGTCTTAAAAAAAAAAAAAGGCACCGGCATGGAAGTGATGGCAGCCGCTGGCTGTCTGATGTGGCTGCTGCCATCACGCTGGGCACGGCAAGGGGAGGAGGTGTACAGCCCACCTTCCGCCCTCCCCGCTCCCTGCAGCCCGCTACCTTGGGGGCCGTGGTGATAAGGCCTGGCATGGTTGCGCTGAGCTCACAGGCGGTGCTCCAGCCAGTCCCTGAGCGCTGGGACACAGGGGTAGCTCATAGCAAGCTCGCCCCTATACCAGATGGTGGCGCAGGTCAAGGGATGACCTGGAGCCCCCGTCCCTGGCTGCCAGGAGGTGCGGCTGGGTGCCCACTGCGCCAGTGGGAGCTGGGAACAACCGGGAGCCCTGCTCTTTCCAAGTTGGCCAGGCGGGAGCTCTCCAGGTACAACTGCAGCCACCCAAGCGGGCTGCATTCCGGCCCCGGTGCTCTTGGGAACCCAGAGTAGCAGGAGCCCCGCCCAAGAGGCGGGGCATCCCTGAACTCTTAGGAGGTCTGAGAAGGCCCCCCTTCCCCTCGCAGGCTCAGAGGTACCTGCTCCAGCTGCCTGGCCTCTCCCCACTCCCGGCGCCAATCAGATCTCCGATTGGGGTTGGGGCTGAGCTAGGGTGCTGTCACATCCCCTCCGGGTGTGTGCACGGGTCAGCGGTGACACGTCAGCCCCCTGCTACCTCAGCCCTCTCCAGACTTTGGGAGTGGAGAAGCGTGAGGGGAAGCTGAGGGGGAGCTGAGGGTACCTGGGCACTGCAGGTTCCCCTTGGTGCCAGCCATGGATGCCAGGGGAAGCAGACATGCTCCTGGGCGGAAGTGGGTGGGTGACCCGTGAAGTCCCACCTTCAGGCCAGGGCAGGCCTCAGCCTGGGGGCAGGTTGGCCAGTCCTGCTGATGGGAGGGGGATTCATGGTGCTTTTTCCTGGGCCCGCCCATGGCTGCCCATGGACCAATCAGCATGCACTTCCCCCCTCTAAGGCCTATAAAAGCCCTGGGCTCAGTCAGCGCAGGAAAGAGGACCTGATGACCAGCTGCAGAGAGCAGCTACGGTTGTCAGGAGTTCGAGACCAGCCTGGCCAATATGGGGAAACCCTGCCTCTACTGAAAATACAAAAATTAGCTGGGTGTGGTGGCAGGCGCCTGTAATCCCAGCTACTCGGGAGGCTGAGGCGTGAGAATTGAGAATCCCTTGAACCCTGGAGGTGGAGGTTGCAGTGAGCCGAGATGGGCCACTGCACTCCAGCCTGGGTGAAAGAGCGAGACTCAGTCTCGGAAAAAAAAAAAAAAAAAAAAAATAGAGACGACCTACCCTCTCTGCCGTTAGAGGGGACAAGACTACCAGCTGCAGGGGAACTACCCTCTCCAGGGCCTCCTCTGAGCTGTTTTAACACTCAGTAAAGCTCCTCTTGGTCTTGTTCACCCCACTGACTGCGAACCTCATTCTTCCTGGATGCAGGACAAGAACTCAGGCAAAGGTGCCACCAACCACAGAGGTTTCTGTCAGGAAAAGTGACACTGCAAAGCTCCCGTAACAGAAGTAGTAAAAGTAAGTATTGAAAAGGGGAAGAACCCAAACTGGGGCCTGTGTGGGGGGATGGGGGGTGGCGCGGGGGGTGGGGGGCGCGGCAGGAGACCATTAGGATAAATAACTAATGCATATGGGGCTTAATACCTGGGTGATGGGTTCATAGGTGGAGCCAACTGCCATGGCACACATTTACCTATGTAACAAACCTGTATGTCCTGCACATATATCCCAGAACCTAAAATAAAATAAAATTTTTTTAAAAAATAATATAATCTAATGATAATAATAAAAGAAAAGCTGAACTAAAGGGGATAATTTGTAAAAAGAAGTAGTGGAAAGGAGGGAAAAGCAAATTGAGGAAGGCCCTCAATTTGTTAAATTTGTGACAATTTGTTATATAGCAAAAGAAAATTAGCACAGCACCTATAACTTTATTATAATCTGCAATCTTTAACTTATATATTAAATATTTGTATCATATCCTGCTTTTGAATTTTTAGACACTGATACCCTCAATTTATATATTTTTTGGCCTTAATTATCTAAGTCTTAGGTTTAATGGCCTCTGGTATGGATTCGTTGATAAATTGCATTTGGGTTATCATTTTAATTTTTTAGAATAACTTATTAGAAGATTAATTATCACTGACAGACCATAACCTTTTCCTCAATCTTAGTTAATCATATAATTCAGTTGAGAATGCTTTTGGTTACATGTTGAAAATGCAAATTGATGTTCGGATATTAATTATGAATAATCATCTTTGGTACTACACATAAAGGTATGAAACCATGGTGTGTGTGGGCATGTGTGTGTGTATGTGTGTGTGTGTGTGTGTATGTGTGAGACAGAGAGATCTATAGTTTATAATTTGCATGCTTTTAAATTTCAAATGGGTATTTAATACTCTTATTTTTTCCTGAAGTGCAAATTGATGTTCGGATATTAATTATGAATAATAATCTTTGGTACTACACATAAAGGTATGAAACCATGGGTGTGTGTGGGCTTGTGTGTGTGTGTGTGTGTGTGTGTGTGTGTGTATGTATGTGTGAGACAGAGAGATCTATAGTTTATAATTTGCATGCTTTTAAATTTCAAATCGGTATTTAATACTCTTATTTTTTCCTGAAGTTTCAGCAATAGGTTTAACAACCTTTTAAATGTTAATTTTCAGTTAATCAACATTTTAGATAATGACAAATTAATTAAGTGGGTTTTTTTGGTGGTGGGATGGATGGTGCTTTAGTTTTACTTTTGAATACAATTTCATTTATATATGCACAGAAGTATACAAATCATAATGTACTGCTCAATTGATTTTCGTAAAAGAAGTGCTCCCAAGAAATCAGCACCAGGTCAATAAATAAAACAATGACAGAATCTCAGAAACTTCTTTCCAGTTCCTACCTCGCTTACCCTAATGGTAATCACTAACCTGACTTCCAACACCAGAGATTAGCTTTGCTTACTTCTGAACTTCATATAAATGGACTCATACCAAATATTCTCTTTTGTGTCTGTATTCTTTATCTCAGTATTATGTTTGTGAAATTGATTTCTGTTGTTGTAGCTCATTCATTTTATTGCTATATTGTAGTTTATTGTATAAATAAACAATAGTCTCTTCTGCTGTAGATAGATGTTTGGCTTGTTTCCAGTTTCTGGCTATTACAAATACTGCTGCTATAAACATTCTTACCCATGTCCTTTGTGGAACATATATACACTTTTTTTGGGTATTTAGTTAGGGTTAAAATTTCTTGGTCTGGGTGCAGTGGCTCACACTTGTAATCTGAACACTTTGGGAAGCCAAGGCAGGAGGATTGCTTGAGCCCAAGAATTTGAGATCAGCCTGGGCAACATGACAAGACCCCACCTCTAAAAAAAAAAAAAAAAAAAAAAAAGAATCTAGCCAGGTGTGGTAGCATGCACCTGTGGTCTCAGCTACTCAGGAGGCTGAGGTGGGAGAATTGCTTGAGCCCAGCAGGTCAAGGCTGCAGTGAACCGTGTTTGTGTACTGCACTCCACCCAGGGTGACAGAGTGAGCCTGTCTCAAAAAATTTTTTTAATTAAGAAATTGCTTGAATTTATGTTATACATGTTCAGCTTTACTAGATATTGCCAAATAGTTTTCTAAAGTGTTGTTTCAATTTACAGGCTGAGAAACAAACATAAACTCCAGTTTCTCCACATCTTCTCCAGCACTTGACATTGTCTCATACTTATTTTATTAAATTTTTTTTTTAGAGTTGGAGTTTTGCTATGTTGCTCAGGCTGGTCTCAAACTCCTGGGCTCAAGCAATCCTTTTTTTTTTTTTTTTTTTTTGTGGAAAATACAAGAGGTCATAAGAGTTGCCAGATCAAAGGGAAATTGTAAGACCACTGATAATTTTTGCTTAATATTTTTAAATAGTAATCTTCTTACTGACAGCATATGTAGCCCAAGCCCAATTTAATGCTCAATTAAGTAACAACTATTTTAGACATTAAAATTAACATTTTGGCTTCTTCTTTTTATCATTTTATTTTTTTATTTGTGTTTATTCAACTTTGTGAATGATTTATGTTAAGTCACCTCAAATCCTTTTTGAAAAGCAATGATGTATAAATAAATACTGTTAAGACCATCAAGCATCTTCTATACACTACAGAAGCCAAAGTATTTAAAAAGCACGACACATTATTTTTTTTACTGTTCCTTCTGGATCCTATAACCTTACTTTCTATGTAACATCATGACATCCATGCTGATTTTTCTTCCTAACCATTTAGTCAAACTTTAATTAGTGAATTTCTGAAACCTTATACACTGATTTCTGAGAACATTGATTGTATATTTATTTGAATCTTTTCCAATTTTATACACCATATTTAAAAGGAAGATAGGGTAAAGTTCCGAAGTATTAATTGCAAGTCCAACCATAAATTTAATAGTATAGCTATTCTAAGTGAAGTAAATTATGTTTCATGAACTAAAAATGTAAGTATAAATGATATTCTTCCTACATTCAAAATAAATTTGAGGTGGGTTTGTAGACTAATTTACTCTAAGCTTCTTTCATTTAAATGTAAAATATTAATGCAAATATATATAATATACATTACACATGCCTTTTTCATGTATTGTTTTTTATTTTAGTATTTTTTATTTAAAGATGATATATTAATGTCACATGAATGTATATAAATAATACAAGATATGTGGTTATTAAAACTATCCAGAACTTAGTTCTAAAATCACAAGTATAGTTTCATATTTTGCCTTTCTTATAATTATCTTACCTTTACCATGTAACATATCAAAATTTCTTTCATTCATTCATTCATTCATTCCACATATATTTATTAAATGCCTACTATAGGACAGGATATCAGTTTTTTTTGTTTGTTTGTTTTTGTTTTTTTTGAGACGGAGTCTCACTCTGTCACCCAGGATGGAGTATGGTGGCACAATCTCGGCTCACTGCAACCTCTGCCTCCCAGGTTCAATTGATTCTCCTGCCTCAGCCTCCTGAGTAGTTGGGATTACAGGTGCGTGCCACCATGCCCGGCTAATTTTTGTATTTTTAGTAGAGATGAGGTTTCGCCATGTTGGCCAGGCTGGTCTCGAACGTCTGACCTTGTGATCTGCCCGCCTCAGCCCCACAAAGTGCTGGGATTACAGGCATGACCCACCACGCCAGGCACAGGATATCAGTTTTCTATTGCTGCATCACAAATTTTCACAAACTTAGCAACTTAAAACAACACAAATTTACAAACTCACAGTTCTCTAGGTCAGAATTCCAGATGCAACATGACTGGATTCTCTCCTCAGGGTCTCATCAGGCTGAAATCCAGGTGTTGGCTGGGGCTGCATTTCTCACTCTGGGCTCAGGTTTCTGTCCAGGCTCGTCCAGGTTGTTGGCAGAATTCAGTTTCTGGGGCAGTAGGACTGAAGTCTCTGATGTCTTGCTGGCTGTCAGCTGGGGGTTGCTCTTAGCTTCTAGAGGCTGCCCACCATTCCCTGCCATGTGACCTTGTCCACAATATGGCAGTTCCTTTCTTCTGAACGTGTCATATGCTTCTCTCTGACTTCTGAAATCAGCAGAGAAACACTGAGTTTTTAAAGACTCATGGGATTAGGTCAGGCCCACCAGGATGATCTCCCTTTCTTAAGGTCAATGATTTGGAACATTAATTACACCCCTAAAATCTCTTCACAGCAATTCTTAGATTAGTGTTTGAATAAGTAGGAGAATACATCAGAGGCTGGGAATCTTGGAGGGCCATCTTAGAATTCTGCCCAAAACAGCCAGATATTTAACTATGTGTCCTGTTACTTAGCACCCATTAGTGAAAAAACAGATAAAAATTCTAGTCCACGTGGAGCATACATTCTAAGAGAGTTTAAGGGGAAAAGTGTCTATACTGTTTATTTGTATTGTCTTATCACTTCCGGAGTTTTAGGAGATAGCCAGATATAAATAGTCATCAGAATAAGCAAATATACCTGTTTTACATTTTTTATCCTCAGCTAGTATTCAGTTAACTATTTTTAACAGATGGCATTTTTTCTCTGTATGTGCTTATAAATGTGTATATAATGAAAATGTCCGAGTTGTGTTGAGCACTTCTTTTTTTTATTTTAGTCCCATGGAATTTCCAAATGCGGGAAGGGACCTCAAAGATCATGCTATATTTTGTTAGCATTTAAGAGTAAGGCAGTCAAAAAGAGACTTTTCTTGTTTATATTTAATGAAATGCCAAGGTGCTATTAGATGTTTTTTGAATATGTATACTTCTTTTCAAATGATCACAGATGTGACCATCCCTAATGAGTGCATTTCTTGAAATAGAGCAGAAACTCAAGTAACAAGAATGGGCAGGATACCAAGGAAACAGACTAATCAGGCAGATGGTGACTATTTTGTAGGGAAAGTCTGAGTAAACCAATAGCTCTACAACAGGGATCTGAAAATAAAGGAACATTAGTGAGCATGAAAAAAATGTTTTTTTCATATTTTTTCATTACCTTATAAAAATTAGATTTACATACACATTTTTACCTATTACCACAGACTATATGATGAAACTTAGTTTTTCTTTCATTATAATGTTTTCATATTAGCAAAATTTTGTCAAAAAACAACTTTTTCATAATTAAGATGCAGTAATGGATTTCCTTTTTTTTGCTCTACCTTCTGAGTTCTTGCAATACTTTTTGAAACCTATTGGTCTTTTAAAATTTCTTAATCATTTTGAAATGAATTGATTTTTAAATTGAATAAAATAGATTTATATTTTGTGTAAAATATAAACATCACAATAAACTGAAATACATTTGCCAAAGAACAACATTTTTTTGTAAAAAACAGAAGTAAAAAAACATCCTAGCAGGAAACCAGGAACGGAATAAAAACACAAAAAGGTATCTCGGGCACAATGCCCTGAAGGTCAACAACCATGGCCAAGAGCATGAGGTAATGTCAGGAATAAGAAAACACCCTGGGTTGGATCCTTGACACTCTGATCCTAAGATCATTAGTGATTGTGCAAAAATGTAATGTGTAAAGTGACTTATAAAGTTGTCAGGTGAATGTTGCTTCTCATTTCTACTTGACAAAACCCTGGTGAGGCAAAGCAGTTCTTATTCCCATTTTACAGATGAAGATATACATATAGAAAAATTAGTTTGCCAAAATTCGTAGTTGCCAGAGTGGCAGAGCAAGAACTAAAACTGAGTCTTCTAATTCTGAATTCAGTGCACCTTGGGATTTAAGAATGGAATGATCAGGAGACAGAGAGGTTATCAGTTGAAGAAACAAACTTTTTTCCACTTAGCATCTTAATATATACATAGCCTGTATTTGACTTTATTCTTACTATAGCATACTGCATTTAGTGTATAAAGATAATGCTTTGGGGTTAGTGTTACATAAAAAAAATCCCTGTCCTTAGTTTCTTTCTAAAATTTGTGAAGGGTTTAAATTGTTTCATGGACATTTCATTGCACAAATTTGTTTCTCTTCATATGAACTGTAAGAAATCAAAAAGAGTGGCTGGATGCAGTGCTCAAGCCTGTAATCCTAGCACTTTTGGAGGCCGAGGAGAGTGTATCACTTGAGGTCAGGAGTTCAAGACCAGCCTGGCCAACATGGTGAGACCCCATCTCTACTAAAACTACAAAAAAATTAGCTGGGTATGGTGTCATATGCCTGTAATCCCAGCTACTCGGGTGGCCAAGGTGAGAGGATCGCTTAAACCTGGGAGGCAGAGGTTGCAGTGAGCCAAGATTGCAACACTGCACTCCAGCCTGGGTGACAGAATGAAACTGTCTCAAAAAAAAAAAAAAAAAGAGAAAGAAAAATCAAAAAGAGCAACCACACGCACACAGACAAACACACACACACAAAGGAAAATCTGATGGGCTGGACAGGGGTGAATCCCTCACACTGATTTCATGATGCTAAAGATACTTTCTACAAACATACAAGGTCATTGCAGTAGGGTAGGAAAGGTGAATTTAAAAAAAGGCAGTGAAGAGGAACCAGGTTTTTAGGGGCCTGCAATCTGATGAAAGCACAAACACTGTCTGGTGATTTGTTCTTCTCTTAAAAGAGAACCACTCTCTTAAGAGGCACAGTTGTTCTATATGAGTCTTCTCCCCTCCCCTATCTATTACAAAGTAAAAATAATACCTTAAGAAGAGTAGGAGTAAATAGACTACTTCCACCTCCTCCCAACATCTATAATCCATAGTAACCTGTAGCCTTCTAGAGAGCAAAGACTGTTGTATATACTCTTAAATTTTTCCTTGAGTATGGGCAGAAACACTAAAAATATTATTGTTTACAAGCATGTATATATGGAAGTTTTTGGCACAGGCTAACCACTGTTTACTAGACCCTTTTCCTTTTATTCTTGGATGAACCACTAAACATTACCTTGCAGTTAGGTATGAATTCCTTGCAGTTAGGTATGAATTCGCTGCAGTTAGGTATGAATTCCCTGCAGTTAGGTATACCCATTAAGATGAAATCCAGCCAGTGGAATATTAGAGAAAGTACTGTGTGTCATTTTTAGACCAGGTCCATGGCATCCTACATGCTCCTTCCTTTTTTCGCTTGTTGGATGTTGATGCCCAGTGTGTTCTTGGAAGATGTGTATGCAAGTCAGCAGTCTCCTTTAGTCCTGGTCCCTGGATGACTGTGGTGGACCAAAAAACAAACAAACAATGCTACATGAAAACCTTCAGCTGCCTTGGTCTGCTTATGTATAAGAGAAATAAATTTTCATTATATTTGAATCATTATTTTGGGTCAACTTCTTATAGCTGTTAGGCAGTTAACTTACCTTAACTAATTTGTTAAGTGCCCTAGACAAAGTGCCCCATGAGAGAATACACTTGTGATTTCCTTCTTTCTTTGTGACTGAGAACAGTTGCCAACTTCCTCCCTGTGGCCTTGTCTTTCTGCCTGAGAGTCTTCACTATTGCCTAACTTCTGAGCTTGTTGTATCATTTCTGGATAAAACAATGTGTTGTCATATCATTTTGTGTTCAAAAGTGCTAGCCACTCCAACCCTAATCTCAACTGTTTCATGTCTGTTAAGTCGAAGTACCCTAGCCAGTTCAGTTGAAATTTCCATTTATTCAATATAATCCTGGATGAGAAGCGGTCAAGATTTGATAATCCTTAAGTGGCACGGTTGGTCCACATTTGAACCTGAGGCACCAGAGAGGCCAGGGTATTACCAACTTCCATGCTTTGCTATGACTCACCAGCACTGTGAATGTTACTCTGCTGTAGTCAAAGCAAAGCTGGACTGAAATTCTCTGTCTTTCCCAACACTAATGGATCTAAGGGGAATATTAGAAGCACAACTGGAATTGTTATGAAAGAAGTTAGATTTGTAATCTTGAGGCCTGACATAGCAGAAAGTGGGTTAAACATTTACACTCTGAAGTGTATTATTTACACTCCAAAAAGGGTAGGGGCCATCCTAGTTATAAATAAATTCATTCAGATGTGGCTAATATGATACTTTAGGTACAGAATGAAGAACAGGAAGGGTAGTGGCACCTATTAAGTGGACTTCACAATCTTTTTTATTTCTGGTAACAGCTTTTCATATACATGGGAACATGATGGGACTTTATTTGCTTATTCATTTCTTTAAAAAGCTTTTCATTTTGAAAAAAGTTCAAGATTAGAAAAAAGTTACTAAGTATGACACAGAATTCCTATATTTACTTCATCAAACTAGTCTTAGCATCTTACCACACAGCAAGTATCAAGCAGGAAATATTGAGAAAATATTAACTAATTTATAGATCTCATTCAAATTTCATTATTTATTTCCCTAATGTTTTTATCTGATCCACACATTGCATTTAGGTGTCGTGTCTCCTTGGTCTCTTCCAATCTGTAAGAGTTCCTCAGTCTTTCCTTGACTTTCAGTTCCCTGTCTTCCATAACTTTGATACTTTTAAAGATAACTGGTCAGGTTCGTTTTTGTTTTTTCTTGTACTCACTGACAGCAGATGGTCAGGTATTTTGAAGAATGTCCCTCAGTATGTGTTTGATGTTTCCTCATAATCACATTCGGTTTAGGCATTTTTTGCAAGACTAGGACAGCAGTCTTTCTGTCTTTCTCAGTGTGTCATAGTAGAAGACACATGATTGATACATCTCAGTACTGATTATGTTACCCTTGAGACACATTGATATCATGTGCCCCTTGACATTATTCACTGAGAAAAGGCACAACATGTTCAGACATGCTCTTCTCCTTTTCATTGGCTGAATGTTTTTGTTTAGAGTGACCCTGGAAGTTATCTGTGGTAGATAAAACCTCCTTCAGATTGGGTCCCCAAATGATTGTGTGGAGCAGAATCACCTCCAGCTTCACCCACTAACTTAGAGTTATGTTGGTCTGTTCATGTGTAAGAAAAACAAACTTTTATTGTGTTTGAGACATTGTACATTTTGGTTCTTTTCACCCTCTTCAGCTTCCCAAAGTGCTGGGATTACAGGCAAGAGCCTGTAGAAGAGTCATTTGCCTACTTCATTACATTACCTAGGATTAGTTAGATTCACTTCCCTGCTGGGGAAAGCACTTCATCCAAAAACATTTCTGTGATTTTCTTCTCTTTTATTGATAGTTGCTAAGTCTGTCTCTGTAGCACACATCTCCCATCAATATTTCTATTTAGTTCGTTTCAAACTCAAGTACCCTGAAATATTTTAAGTTTAACATCCCACTCCTATCTTTAATTGTACCATATTTCAAGTTGTCATTAAGAACCCCCAAATTCATCTTTTTTCACGGTATTTAATAAGATTTATCAACATGTTCACCAAGTATTATTTTTTACAGACATTGCTTTTTGCATTCTGCATACTTCAGCAGTTATTTTAAAGAGGGTCTGCAAGTGGTACATTCTGTCTTATTCTGAGAAATGTTTATTTCACAATACATCTTGAATGATAGTTTTGCTCTTTGAAAATAACTCTTTTCTAGTATCAAACTTGTAAAACTGAAAATGGATTAAATTCACCTGAAAAATACAGAGATTCCCAGATTGGATTAAAAAAACTAAGTTTAGGCTATATGCTTTTTTAAAGAATCACACCCAAAATATAATAATCTCAAGAGGCTGGGCGCAGTGGCTCTTGCCTGTAGTCGCAGCAGTTTGGGAGGCTGAAGCGGGTGAATAGCTTGAGCTCAATAGTTCGAGATCAGCCTGGCTAACATGGTAAGACCCCATCTCTACTAAAAATACAAAAATTGGCCAAGCATGGTGGCACACACCTGTAATCCCAGCTACTCTGGAGGCTGAGGCATGAGAATCACTTGAACCCAGAGATGAAAGTTGCGGTGAGCCGAGGTTGCACCACTACATTCTACCCAGGGCTACAAAGTGAGATTTTGTCTCATAATAGTAATAATCTCAAAAGACTGAAATTATATCAGGTGCTCAGATAATGTTACTTTGTTATAATGTTGATGGGAAAAAAAATTAATTCATGGTTGAGGCTAATGTCTTTGTGAAATTTGCACCTTTTCCCCATGTCTGTGTGGATTTTCTCCAGGTACTCCAGTTTCTTCCCACATCCTGAAGATGTGTATTTCAGGTGGGTGGGCATGTGTCAGCGATCTCAGTCAAGGTGAGTGTGGGTATATGTATGAGTGTGCCCTGTGTTGGGATGGTGTCATGGCCAGGGTTGCTTCCCACCTTGTATCCTGAACTGCTGAATGGGCTTTGGCCTCCTGTAACCTGAACTGGAGTAAGTGGGTTGGAAAATGAAAGAATAAATGAATACAAATTATTATAAGATAAAATATAAAGTATTTGATAATCATACAAATGCAAAATAATAAGAAATGTTGTATGAAAGTGCTTAGAGAGTCTGCCTTATTGAATATTGTTTGTTTTTGAACTGTGTGTTGGTAGGAGGTACTCCTGACAATTTTCACTTTACAAACATTTATTTCTTGATTTAACCTACCACCAGGATGACGGCTGTCACTCACTGATTCACCAAAAATTGGACAAATTGCTTACTTATTTTTGTTGATTTTTCTTAAATGTATGTATAGCTTACATTTATATCAATATTCAACATTAGAAGTGTTTCAAGTCTTCACTTAGAAATTTGTTGATGTTTTTGTGATACAAATATGCCATAGGAACTAATTCTTGTTTATATTAATTAGCCTATAGTAAAACTGGTTTTGTTACATGGCATCTCACTTGAAGTTGAAGTTTCCAAGACCCTATCAACAACGTTGAGAACTTACTGTCATAGGTTGAAAAACTGTACACCAGGAACCGGACCAAAATAGATCTGACAGTAATATTGATATTAGAAAACAACTTTAAGTCTAATAATGATTTTTCTCTAAAGAGGTTGATTACTTCATGATAGAAGGATCATGTCACCATGATGACACAGACTGTTAGTGCACATCAATATCCATTTTGTCCTCTTCTTTTTTGGCATACAACCAAAACTTACATAGGCTTTTTATCATTTTACTGGGCCTATGTAACTGAGTTTTAGCCAGTGGAATATGTCCAAGTGACATTTGCCACTTCTAGGTCTGGCACATTAACACTTGATGTATTACATTTCAGACCCTCTTATCATTCTGCAGTGTGTTTGGCGATCTGTTGTTTAAGATCTATATGCACTGGTTACTGTTGCTTGCCTTCCATTCCTACCCTTACTAATCAGATTCCTATTATAGCTACTTCTGTCCTTGATTCATTTTGTATATTAGATGTGTGTGTGTTCATGTGCATGCATGCACCCTCACATGTAGGTGTATATGGGAGTGGTGGTAAAGACAGGATATTTCTTCAGTTCATGGGATTTTATTTCAGGAGAATTCAAACATTCACGTATTGGAGAAGATGACACATTTCTTGAATGTCTTGGGCTTTGAGCTGAATGCACTAACTAGAAGGGACTTCAGATTGTCCTCCTTCGGGGGAGGTAAGTATATTCTTCATATACAGGTAAGAGTGAAATGATAGAAGAATGTTCCTCCTCTCCTTTTCTTCCTGGACAACAGATCAAATATTTCTCAGATCTTTTACAGCTGAATTGGAGTCACATGGACAGGTATGATCTTAAAATATAAAAAATTATTTTAAAATTACATGCTAAAATTTTATAAAAATAAATGCTAAAACTAACTTAAACGGAAGCATTTGATTAAAAAATTTATCCAAAAAAGTTTGAATTTTATATGAAACAGGATAGAAGATGAAAAAGCTAAAGAAATAAAATATAAATAAATTATGGCTGGGGACAGTGGCTCACACCTGTAATCCCAGCACTTTGGGAGGCTGAGGTGGGAGGACTGATTGAGGCTAGGAGTTTGAGACCTGTTATTTGAGGCACATGGGAAGGAAAGTTTTCTTTGAGATATTCCACATTTTATAATATTCTTCAAGAGATTTACAGAGTTCCTTGAGTGAATTGTTGGTTTGTTCTTAATACTGAATTTCCTATTCAAATTTATTTAGAAGTTCATTTCTTACAGTGATCTCATCTCCTATTAAGATATTCTTCAAGGTAGGTTCTTGGCCAGTTTCTCAATGACAGATTTTTAAAAATATTGTTAATCTTTTTATTAATATGAGAACATAATTGTTCCAGATCTGGAGGCCATCCTTTAAGCTTCTTGCAACAGTCTGGGAGCAAAGAGTTTACTCGCCACTGGGTAGTGGGCCATGGACACCCCAGTCTCCACCAGAAGTTCGGGATTGCAAAATGGGACTCTGGCAGCAAATTTCAAACTGTATGCCAGACCTGGCCCTTTGCAGGTGGGCATCACTAAAAATTTAAATTACCAAAATTGACTCAAGAGTAAATCTATGTCTGAGGAGAAAGCCTTTGGAAAAATTGAATTAGTAAGCAAAAACCTACCCAAAATAAATAACAGTAAGTCTAGAAAATTTTACACAGGGATTACCAACAAACATTCAAAGCACAGAAAAATCTCTTTAGCACAAAATGCTACAAAATACAGAAAAAGAGGAAAATTCTGTAGTTTCTCTCATGAAGTTAATATATTCTAGTTAGCTGAACTAGAAAAATAAGAGAAAGAAAAATTATAGGTTAATCTTCCTTATGAGTACATGCAAGTATCATAAGATGTTGACAAATTGAATCAAGCATTTTAAAAAATGCATTATGATCAAATATGATTTATCCTAGAAATAATGTATGAGAGTTATAAAATTCCCATTAACATTAGGAACAAGCATTAATACTTATTATCTCCACCAATAATCATCATTGCTCTGGAGTTCCTAACCAATGAAATAAGAAAGAAATAACCAGTTATATGGATTAGGGAAGATCAAATATTGATTATTTGAATATTTTTTTTTATAGAAAATCCAATAATTGTACAGCTGAAGAACTGGAATAGGAGAGTTAAGCAAAGTTTCTACATACAAGAGCAAAGTGGTCAAATCAATAGGTTATCTGTAGGCCAGTGCTAATTACATTGACATGGTGGCCTTAAAATTTTTACATGCAATTCATAAATCAGTTTCACTGATATTACTTTACCAGATATTGATATTCTAATGTTGTAATTATACAACTGTATTATTGTGTCAGAAATAAAATTAATAGACCAACAAAACAAAACTCAGAACAGATTCACATATTTGATAACTTGGTGTATGACAAGTGTGACATTAAAATTCAGGAGTAAAATAAAAAAATAACAAATAATGCCGGGATAATTGGTTAGTCACATGGGAAAAAGTCAGAAAGATCTCTGCCTCACTCTATTTACATGGAATATACTTCAGATGAAAGAAACTTAAATACAAAGAGCAAAACTTTAAGACTTTTAGAAAAAGATAGGAGAATTTATGACTTCCAGTAAGGAAAGCTTTCTTAAGCTAGATGCAATGGCATAAACGACAAAATGCATTTTTTTTATAACATTAAATAAAACATGTGTTCCGTAAAAGACACCAAAATACAATTAAGAGATAAGTTACAGTGTCTTAGTCCATTCTGGCTGTATAAAAAAATACCATAGACTGAGTGGCTTAAACAACATTTATTTCTCATAGTTTCTGGAGGCTGAGCAGTCCCAGTCAAAGAGAGCCCACTTTCTAGTTTATAGACCACCATCTTCTCACTATGTCCTCACATGGCAGAAAAACAAGATGGCTCTCTGGAGTACTTTTTACAAGAGCACTAATCCTATTTATGAGGGATTCACCCTCATGATATAATCACTTTCCAATGGCCTCAGATCCAAATACTATCACTTTGGAAGGCAGGATGGGGGTGGGAGGATTGGATTTCAACATAGGAGTTTTTTGGGGACACAAACATTCAGTCCATAGCACACAGACTGGGAGAAAATATCTGTGATGCATACATCTTACAAAATAATTCATATCTAGACTATAAAGAGCTCCTCAGGTAGATAAGAAATATCAAAAGAGAACAAAAACATAAACATAGTTCACAGAAGAGGAGACTCAGATGGCCATAAATATATGGAAAAAATGCTTAACCATTTATCATGAAAATGTGAATGTGAACCAGAGTTTACCTATAACATACAACAAACTTCCAAAATGACTGAAAAACAAAACCTTATATTAGCAAGTAAAACACATACAAACACAAACACACACACTTCTACAGGAGCAGGAATTTATACAACCACTGTGGCAGTCACTATTGGTTACCCATAACATATCTATCCACATTTCTTCTTAAAGAGCAGAAGCACAATTTTATAAGTATGTGATTTCTAGGTTCTCTATGTCTATGCGTCTATTTTTATGCAATATCATGCCATGTAGTTACCATAGCTTTGTCGTATATTTTGAAGTCAGGTAGTGTGATGCTGCCAGCTTTGTTTTTGTTTGTTTGTTTGTTTTTGTTTTTGCTTAGGATTGCTTTGGCTGTTTGGATTTTAGGGTTTTTTTTCTATTTTTGTGAAGAATGTTATTGGTATTTTGATAGGAATTGGATTGAATATGTAGATTACCTTGGATGGCATGGTAATTTTAAAAATATTAATTCTTGCAATCCATAAATATAGGATGACTTTTCATTTTTTGTGTCCTCTTAATTTTTTCATCAGTGTTTTGTAGTTTTCATTTTAGAGATATTTCACCCCCTTTATTAAATTTATTCCTAGACTTTTTTGGGTAGGTATAATTATAAATGGAAATGCTACTGATTTTTGTACGCTGATTTTGTATTTTGCAGCTTTACCGAATTTGTTTATCAGCTCTAAGAGTTTTTTGGTCATCTTTAGCATTATCTATATATAAGATCATGTTATCCGCAAACAGGGACAGTTTGACTTCTTCCTTTCCAGTCTGAATGGCTTTTATTTCTTTCTCTTGCCTAAGTGATCTAATTAAGACTTCAATACTATGTTGAATAAGAGTAGTGAAAGTGGGCATCCTTGTCTTATTCCAGTTTTTAGAGGAAAAGCTTCCATCTTTTCCCCATTCAGTATGTTAGCTGTGGGTTTGTCATATATGGCTTTTATTGTGTTGAGGTGCTTTCCTTCTATGCCTAATTTGTTGAAAGTTTTTATCATTAAGTGATATTGAATATTATGAAATGCTTTTTCTGCATCTATTGAAATGATCATTTTTTTAATTCTTCATTCTGTTGATGTGATATATCACGATTATTGACTTGCATGTTTTGAACCATCCTTGCATCCTTGGGATAAATCCCACTTGAACTTGAAGCCAGGCTCAGTGGCACATGCCTGTAGATGCAATATGTGTAGTTGCAACAATCCTCCCACTCCTGACGTGGGAGGATTGCTTGAGCCCAGGAGTTTGAGACCAACTTAGGGAACATAGTAAGAGACCAACTTGGGGAACATATTAAGACCCCATCTAAAAAAATGACAATAAAAATCCAACTCGATCATGTATAATCTTTTTGATATGTTGGTAGATTCAGTTTTCTAATATATTGTTGAGATTTTTTGCATCTATGTTCATCAGGGATATTAGCCTGTAGTTTTCTTTTTTGTTGTATTTTTGTGTAGAATTATAAAAAAAGATCTACACAATATATCTTCTAATTGGAGATTGTGGTTGAAATGTGATCTTTTTATATACAATTGTTTCAAATTAGACATTGAAGTTTTTAATACACTTATTTATAACTGGCATTTAAATTATAACCTCAAACAACAGTATTTACTCAAACTATGATTTTTCGACTATTAGCCAATATGTGGCAGTTAGAATTTTGGCTGTTTCCTGAAAGAAACTTCCCCAAATATCTGTGAAAAGTATTATGAATTAAAGATATATTAATTCTACTGTTTTAAAAATATATTTTATACATAATTAAGGAAATTAAAATTTGTACAATAACAGTCCTACTTTTTGTAAAACAGAAAACTTCAGTTTAAATGCTAAAATGGAAATGATTTAGGTTGGAGATAACTCATATCTGTTGCAGGAAGTATAATTTTTAAATTTTATCTCAATAGGTTTTGGGGGAACAGGTGGTGTTTGGTTACATGAACAAGTTCTTTAGTGGTGATTTCTGAGATTTTGGTGCACCCATCACCTGAGCAGTGTACACTGTATCCAATGTGTAGTCTCCTCACTCCCCTCCCACTCTTTCCCCTGAGTCCCCAAATTCCATTGTATCATTCTTACACCTTTGCATAGAGTAAGTAAAATTTAAATAGATCTCTGATAAAAACATGTATAGTGCTAAATATTTTGAATTAAAGCTTATGATTAATAGCTATACTTAAAAGATAAAATTAGTGGTAGATGATACCCAGGTCATTTGATAGAACAATTTATTTCAAAATGAACAATTTACACCTAAATGCTGAATAAGAAATTAACACATACTGTGAGAGAGGGGTCTTTGCTTCAAAAAGCTTTGCACTCTATCTTCCTAGGAGGTGATTAAAATTAGTTCTCTAAATTTATATTATTTTCCCCATCTATTGGGCTATAACTATCTCTTTCATGTAGGACATTGATGTCTCATGACTTCACCACTACTACGGAGGGAATTGTTGCCATATAGGCATTGACTGTGAAGCTTCTAGAACACCTGTCTCCAAAATGGGGATGTATACTCCCAAGAAGGCATGCAAGTCAATTCTAAATATAGCTAGGTAGAGAGACAGAGATATTAAGCTTTACTTGTGTTTAATATATTAATTGATACTGACAAAATCAGGCTTTTTTGTCTGATGGTCCCATTTTATATACAATATGTAAGGTATGCCTAAGAAACAAATCCCACACAGGATTTACACTGGAAGATTTTACACTGGCACCACATTTATGTAAAATTATGTTACCACATATTGCAATTAAATGTACTTGGTTAAATGGATCAGATGATTATAGTACGTCCTCACTAACATTGTCAGTAGGTTCTTGGAAACTGACTTGAACCAAAACAGTGTACAGCAAAACCGATTTTACCATAGGATAAATATAAACCAAAGTTAAGTATCTATAGCATATTTCTGGTCACAAAACCCACCAAACTTCTAAATAAAGACCAAAACACTTCTAATAATAAACATTGAAATAAATGTGAGCTACACATACATTTAAAGTTAATAAAAACAAGTAAGATAATTATTTACCTGCTTATTCCAGTTCAGGGTTGCCGGTAGCTGGAGCCTTTCCTGGCAGCTCAGTGCTCAAGGCAGGAACCAGCCCTGGAGAGGACACCATCCCATCGCAGAGCACGTTCACATCCACGCTCACTCAGACCAGGACAATTTAGATGTGCCAATTAACCTAATGTGCACATCACTGGGATGTGGGAAGGAACCAGAGTACCCAGAGAAAACCCACACAGACATGGGGAGAACACGCAGGCAGACTCTACACAGATAGTGACCTCAGCCAGGAATACATTTTTTTTCTCATCAACATTGTAACAAAATGACATTGAATCATATACCAGGAGGACCTGCTGTATATCTCCTATGTTACCTGAAATACTTTGTAATTTGAGGAGGTGTTACCATGAGCATATTTTATACAATAAGGGGTTCATTCTTTACCTCAGGAAAAAGTATTTCTATTAACTTGGGTTTAGAGACTGAGGGGAAGGATTATATGTTATATCCTCATCTGTAATGCAATCCTTAGGCCCAGGATGAAGCAAAACAAGAATGTGGCAAGAAATGAGAGAGAGAGCCAATACAAAGCTGCATTAACCAGAATGCCGCTACTAGTGTCAAATGCCATGGCTCAGTCTCATGTGGCCATCTTCTTAGAGGCTTTATAAGTGACTTCATCTTCCCAGGAGAGTCCCTTGGGAGGAGAAATGGGGAAGTAATAATCTTCTGGCCTTCTTCTCTTGGCCAAAACTTGTGATTATTAATTTTATGTGTCAACCTAACTGGGATACCGGATGTCCAGATACATGGTAAAACATTATTAGAGGTGCCTGTGAAGTTATTTCTAGAAGAGATTAGCATTTAAATCAGTAGATCAAGTAAAGCAGATTGTTCTTCCCAGTGTGGATGGGCATCATGCAGTCTGTTGAGGGCCTGAATAGAACAAAAAGGTAGAGGAAGGTTGAATTTGCTCTCTGTGTGACTGCTTGAGCTGAGGCATCAATCTTTTCCCTGAGTGCTCCTGGTTCTCAGGTCTTCAGACCTACCCTGAAATTGGCACCATCAGCTTTCCAGAACTACATTTCTGGCTATAATACATGGGAAAAACAAACCCAAATGTTTTTCAGACTCTGTACTAACATACTCAATCCAACACTTCAGAGGCCAGATGTGTGAGGTTATCTCTCCACACACCAAGCAAGCACTCCTCCAGCAGACACAAGCTGGGTGTCGTGTAGTTCAATTCAATCCTAACACTGTGTACCTGGAGATAACATCAGACCCCACAGGTTGAGTGCTCAGTCCCCCAAGAGTGTCCTCCACTTCAGATGCCAACTGCAAGCCCCAGGTTGTGGCCTGTGCTTCCGACAGAGCAGCCATAAATCAGGGTTCCCATGACTCTCCTTCTCAGTTTCTGTTAACTTACTAGAGGTTCTCACATAACTCAGGGAGACACTTACATTTACCCACTTATTATGAAGGACATTATAAAAAATACAGATGAACAACCAGATGGAAAAGTGTATAGATTAAAGTATGGAAGAAGGGACATGGAGCTTTCATGCTCTCACTGGCACATTACTTTCCAGAAACTTTCACATGTTCAGCTACCCAGAAGCTGTTCCAAACTCTGCCTTTTTGAGTTTTTATGGTGGCTTCATTGCATAGGCATGATTGATTATATCATTGGCCATTGTTGATGGCCAACTCAATCTTCAGCCCCTCTCCCTTCTCCATAGGTTAGGGCTGAAAGTCTCAATCCTCTAATTATGTCTTGGTCTTTCTGGCAACCAGCTCCCATCCTGAAGCTATCTAGGGTTCCACACCTACTGGTTATCTCATTAACATACAAAAGATAATCCATCATTTCTGAAATTCTAAGGGTTTTAGTATCTGTATGCCAGGAAACAGGGAAGAAGACCAGATATATATTTCACAATACCACAATGGCTTTCCTGGGTCTCCAGGTAAATGGCAGAACATAGGACATCTTAGCATAATCTCATGAGCTAATTTCTTACTAATTTCTTATAATACATCTCTCTTTATGTGTACACACATGCACACACACACCCCTATTATAGGTTGGTGCAAAAGTAATTGTGGTTTTACCACTAAAAGTAATGGCAAAAACCGCAATTACTTTTACACCAACCTAATAGTCCTGTTTCTCTGGAAAACCCTAACTAATACAAAGTTTCACCCCATGGAGCTTTGATTCTCCCACATTTTGGACTTGTACATATGTGAATGCCAAGGAATCATGTGGTGGCATCTTATGCCTTAGCATTAAAAGAGAATCCCAGGATGGGAGGAGAGGTGCTAGCAGTTTGTACCTTGTGAAGTCACACAAGTCACACATACCTGTATGTTGCTGCAATGGCTGTTGGAATAAGTACACAGAGTCCCCAAAGACTAGTGAGGCCAAGATGTGTGAGTCATTTTCCATCACACACAAAAAACCCAATTGTTCTAAGTATGTATTTTACCAAGCAGCTTTATAGAAAGAAAAACAAACAAACAAACCAAACAACAACAACAACAAAAAACCTTGGCCAGGCACAGTGGCTTACACCTGTAATCCCAGCATTTTGGGAGATTCAGGCGGGTGGATCCTTTGAGCTTGGGAGTTTGAGATCAGCCTGGGTAATGTGGCGAAACCTCATCTCTACCAAAAATATAAAAACTAGCCAGGTGTGGTGGTGCACGCCTGTAGTCCCAGCTGCTTAGGAAACTGAGGTGGGAAGATTGCCTGAGCCCAAGAGGTAGAGGTTTCAGTGAGCCGTGGGAAGATTGCCTGAGCCCAAGAGGTAGAGGTTTCAGTGAGCCGTGGGAAGATTGCCTGAGCCCAAGAGGTAGAGGTTTCAGTGAGCCAAGATTGTATCACTGCACAACTGTTGCCTGGGCAACAGAGCCAGATCCTGTCTCAAACAACAAAAACAGTCCTTATATTTAATCTCTCACAGATAAAAAAAATAGTATTTTAGCAATTATTAAAAAGTATCTTGTTTTTGAAAGAAATTTGTGCTATGAAAAGGGCATTTTGAATATAAACTGAAAAATTTTCCATTTTTAAGTGATACAGCTAAAAATTATTACAGCTTCTTTAAAATCCCCTTATCAGCATGCCTAACAAGATTTTTCTAATTTATTCTAAATCTTTCACATAAAGAATTCAGTGAGTTTTAAATTCATTTATTACATAAGAATATTATAACTTTTTATTAGTTTATAGAAAAGTTTAGTGACATCAGGATAAATTGATATTTATTATATGAAAGTTATGAAAACTTTTGTATAGTTGCTAAGTAGGATTAAAAAATGAGTATCAGAATTTGGTAAACACAGCCAGAGATACATTTCATTTGCACACAAATGTTTTTGTGAGGTTTCTTTTTCAGTTAGGAAAATCATTAAAATCATGTACTGATGTAAACTAAACTTAGTACCGGACTTTCAAATCACTTGATTCCAAAGTTTAAATCAAGGTTTTTAAAAATAAAGTATTTTCAATTATAAAATGATTAATAATTTTCTAGTGAGAGTAAAGATGTTTGAAATATTAGGCTTAGTTTATTTGATGTATATATTTAATCCTATAAAATTTCTTTTGTAATAACTATCTGCAGAGTAGCATATTTGTGATTTATAAATATTATATGCTCAGAATCCTTGATTGATAAGAGCATATGATTAAAAAATGAAAACACATTGTAGAGTTATTCATAGTCACATATGTATGTAACTGAATATATATGATATATATAATATAAATAAATATATTTAAAATACATATTTATATATAAATATGTATTATATATAAATATATATCATATATTATATATAAATATAAACAAATATATATATATAAAGAGCCATGATACATTGTCTTTAGGACAATATCCTTCCAATCTTAGCTGATCAAGTACTCTGTGTTTTCCTATCCGGTTTTACTACCCATGACTTCTTGGCGGTAATTCCTATCTACCTTCCTAATCATTTCTCTTCATTCACTTAATACTTCAACTACTGACTCACTGCCTTCCTGTACATCTTCATTCCTGTCATTGTTCTTAGTGATTCCAAGAACCATGTAGAAGAAACACTCTGAACTTTAGCTTCTCTATTCCTTGACCTCTCCTCTTTCAATGTTTTCCTCTATCCCACCTTTGCCACCTATCACAAGACCACTGGAACTTATCACCACTAATGAAACCACCTGGTAATTCTTTATTTGAAGCATCCTACTTTATGACCATCACCTCCTGTTCTTCTAATTCATTTACCTGAGTCTTCCATTGCTGCAGTTCTTTAGCCCTATTGTAATCTGCAAACTACTGTTTTCCTTGTTTGAACTTCAGTAGCTTAACATTGGTAGAAAATACTAGGGTGACTGATAACACTTGAAATTCATCACAAAAACTTCAACTAGCCATTCAATACTGCCTACCATTCTTGTATGTTTTTCTAGCAGATTTGCTTTTGACTTTCTCAGATGACAGTTGAAAACCTGCACTTCACCCTTCACACACCTTCCCTGCTTAACTGAGAAAACAGAAGGTATCCGCTGGGCACAGTGACTCAAGCCTGTGATCCCAGCATTTTGGGAGGCTAAAGTGGGAAGATTGCTTGAGCCTAGGAGTTCCAGACCTGCCTGGTCAACATAGCATGATCATGTCCCTATTTAAAAAAAAAAAAATTAGCCAGGCATGGTGAAGCATGCCTATAGTCCCAGCTACTCTGGAGGCTGAGGCAGGAGGATTGCCTGAACCTAGGAGTCCAAATGACTGGGTTTGTGAAGGCTACAGTGAGCCATGACTGTACCACTGTACTTCAACCTGTGCAGCAAAGTGATACCTTGTCTCAAAAAAAAAAAAAAAAAAAAAAAAAAAAAAAAAAAAAAAGAAGAAGCAGAAGAAAAAAAAGAAAGAAAAGGGAAAAGAAAATAGAAAACATTGAAGGTAAACTCCCTCATCTTCCCACACGAAATCTAACCAAACAGAAACTTTGTCCTTTTTGTTACAGTGAAGGAAATATCTCTGCCATTATCAAATGCAAATCTTCCTATTTTTCTCTGGATTTAATCCCCTCTTGCTTGTCATGGACTAGGAGTATTTGCTCCTCTGCTCCTCTATCTAGCAGCATCACTCTCACCCTTTCTGTTAGATCATACCTATTAACGTATCTGACATGCCCCATGTTAAAAAAAAAAAAAAGTAAACACACTTCTGTTGATTCCATCTTATTTTCTGGATACTGCCCTATTACTTTTAATTCTTCTATTTAACATCTTAAACATGTTATCAATGTTCACTATCACCACTTTCTTTCTTCCAATTAATTATTCACCCCATTCTAATGTAGCTTCTGTTTCCACCTCTGCAGTGAGGTGGACCTTTGTCAAGGTCTCCCACAGTCTCTGCATTGCCAAACCCAACTCCTCTCTTCCTACCTCATTTGATGCCTTGGCAGCATTAGACCCAGCAAAACACTCTCCTTAAAGCCTTTCTTCCCTTGGCTCTGTGACATCATCGTCCTGGTTTTCCTCTTACCTCACTGTTACTCCTTCTCTCTTTGCCAAGCCTCAGAGCTAGTCTCTTTTCAATTCTATCAGAGCTTTCTCCCTAAGTGATCTTATTTAGTCTCATGGATTTAAGTAACTTGTACTGTATACACTCATGGTTTTCAAAATTAATTTCTAGCCCAATGACCCAAACTGAGCTTTTGACTTTCTTCACAAACCTAGTTATTTGCAACTCTCTCTCATCTCAGTATATGGCACCCTTATTCATCCATTTTCTAAAATAACACTCAGGTATCAGCTTTAATTTTTCTCTTTCTGCAATTCCCTACATCCAATTCATCATCCAGTTCATTTTTTTCTACCACCAAAAAATATCTCAGGTTTTACCACTTCCCTCTATCTACATACCACCATTCAAAATTAATTCACTACAATCTCTTTCTGTACTATGTGAAATAGATTTCTTTGCTTCTTCTCTTGCCCTTCTCCAAAAAAAATTTGTCTTCACATAGCAATCAGTAATCACTTAGAAACATGAATCAGGAATCATTTTTTTCTTAGATTAATTCAGTGGTTTCTCATTGTCCTTAGAATATGTCCATTCTTCTTACAATGGCCTGTCTGGATGATGTGGCTCCTGTATACCTATACAATGTTACCTTCTACCCTTTATATTCTCCCTTAATTATTTTATGGCAATCCAATTGGCCTCTCTTCTGTTTTTCAAATTCCCAAGGTGCTTTCTGATGCCAAGGCATTTGCACTTCCTGTTCTCTTTGTCTGCAAAGCTCTTAAGTATTTTTGCATAGCTAGCTCATTTTCATCCTTCAGGTCTCAGCCTAAATACTATCTCCTCAGAGTTCTTAATTGACTGCTCAAGACCCACTTGCACTGAATATAATTATTCTTTATTTCGTCTTCCTTCTTTCATCTTCATTCATACCACTTCTCATGATCTGTATTTGGCTTTTCTATTATTTCTTGTTTGTGACATGCCAAAAATGTAAGTTCTATGCAGGTAGAGATTGTATCATGTTCATTATCCTAACCTTGGGATCTAGTACAATGTCTGGCACAAGATAAATTTTGAATATTTATGAACAAACAAAAGAAGGCTTCTTTTTCCTTGTCTTACTTTATGCTCTCACTATTCACATTTTTTCAGTTTACCCTCTGGTAACCATCTGTATTAGGCAGTCAGGATGCAAAAACAAAATACCACAGGCTGGGTGGCTTAAACAACATAAATTAATTTTCTCTCAGTCTGGAAGCTGGAAATTCCAAGATCAAGGTTCTGGCCATTTTGGTGTCTGGGGAGGTCTCCCTTCCTGGCTACATTCTCCATATACCTCACGGCCTTTTTTCTTGGTGTGTGCACCTTGCAGTGAGGGAAGGGGAAGGGGGGTTTCTGGTGTCTCTTCTTATGAAGACACTAATCTTAGAAGATTACGACTCCATACTCCTTACCTCATCTAACTTTAATTACTTCTTAGAGGCCCCACCTCCAGATACAGCAATATTGGGAATTAAGGCCTCAGCATATGAATTTTGGGGGGACACATCATCATCTTTTCATTACTGATTTCACTCACACAGACAAAGTGTGCATGGAGGAGCCTCTGTCTACTGAACTCTTAGATAGTTCTTATTTAAGCACATTCACGGTTTTTTGTTATTTTTATATAGACATATGCCTTGGTTTGCATTTTAGTATACATTTCCTTTCCCTACTCCACACAGAGCTCTTTAAGTAGTGATTCCATATATGTTTACTGATTGACTAAATCTACATCCACATTTCCATTTACAAACGTTCACCCAACATCCAATTCTTTATCACCAACTGCTGATTATGTTTACACTTGGATTATCCATTTTTGTCTCAAATTTGTTGTGTCCCAAACTTATTTGCCCAACCACCAGCAAGCTTTCTCTTTGTCACTGCATTACATTCTCCTGACAATAGAGGCCTAAAACTTTGGCATAATCTATGACTCATTCATTAGTTTTCATCTGCTTTATCTAATTAATCACTAACCCAGTTATTATTTCCTTTAAAATCTTGCATAAAATGTTTCTTCCTCTAGAATATTTCTGTCATTTTAAAAATAAACTTTTTTATTTAAGGGATTTATATTTACCGAAAATTGCAAAGAGAATAGAGAAATCTCTTTTATCCTTCATGCAGTTTTTCCTGTTATTAGCATCTTAACATTAGTATGGTATATCTGGCAGAACTAATCAAACAACACTGATGCATTATTATTAACTAAAGTTCATACTTCATTCATACCTCCTTGGTTTTTACCTAATTTCTTTTCTATTTCATAATCTTACCCAGGATATTACATTGCATTTAGTTGTAATGTCTTCTTAAGCTTCTTTTGGCTGTGATAGTTTCCCAGATTTTCTTTGTTATAGATGACCTTTAGAGTTTTAAGGAGTACTGGTTAGGTATTTTTTAGAATGTCTTTCAGTGGGTTTGTATGTAGTTTTTCTTATGACTATACTGGGGTTATAAGTTTTGGGGAGAAAGACTACAGAGATAAAGTGCCATTCTCATCATGTATCAGGAGTGCATGCTGTCAACATGATTATTGTTGCTAATGTTAACCTTGATTACCTGGCTGAGGTGGTGTTTGTTAGATTTCTCCATCGTAAAGTTATTCTCTTTCTCCCTTTCTGTACTGTATTCTTTGGAAGGAAGCTATTATATGCAGCCCACACTTAAGAAGTGGGTAGTTATGCTCCCCTCTTTGAGAACAGAGTTTCTTTAGGAATTACTTGAATTTTTACATAGAAATTGGTCTATTCTTGCCTATTTATTCAATTATTTATTTTTATCAGTGTGAACTCAGGGATATTTATATTATACTTTGAGTTATAATACAATGCTGTTATTTACTTCATTCCTCAAATTGTTCCAGCTCTAGCCATTGGAAGCTCTTTCACTCAGCTCCTATGTTCCTTTGACATACCTCATTTTTTTTTCTTTTAAACATTTCCTTACATCCTGGCACTATAAGATGCTCTAGGGTCATCTTGTATATTTCCTGTCTGTATTGGTTTCCTATTGTTATTGTAACAAGTTACCATAAACTTAGTAGATTAAAACAACACAAATTCATTATCTTGTTATTCTGATGGTAAGAATTCCAAAATGGGTCTCACTGGGCTAAAATTGAGGTATACAAAGGGCTGCATTCTTTCTGGAGGCTGAAAGGGAAATTTTGTTTTTTTACCTTTTCCATCTTCTAGAGCCTTCTAACATCCTTGGATCATGGTCCCATTCCTCCATTTTCCTTTCTTTCTCCTTTCCTTTCATATATATATATATATTTTTTTTCCAGAGTCTTGCTCTGTCACCCAGGCTGGAGTGCAGTGGTGCAATCTCGGCTCACTGCAGCCGTGACTTCCTGGGCTCAAACTATCCTCCCCACTCAGCCTCCCGAGTAGCCGGGAATACAGGTGCATGCCACCATGCCTAGCTAGTTTTTTGTTTTGTTTTGTTTTTTTGATTTCACCATGTTGTCTAGATTGATCTTGAACTCCTGGGCTCAAGCAATCCTCCCACTTTGGCTTCCCAAAGTGCTGGGATTACAGGTGTGAGCCACCAACATGGCCTCCATTCTTCCATTTTCAAAGCCAGCAATATCAAGTTGATTCTTTCTCATGCTGCCATCTCTCTGGTTATCCTTTTCTGCCTCCCTCTTCTACACTTAAGGACTCTTGTGATTATATTGACCCACCTAAAAAAAATCCACAATAATTTCCCTCTATTAGAACTAGCCGATTAGCAACTTACAATCTGTCTGCTAGAGCTGGGTATGTTGGCTCACATCTGTAATCCTAACACTTTGGGAGGCCAAGGCAGGAGGATTATATGAAGCCAGGAATTTGAGACAAGCCTGAGCATCAAAGTGAGACCCTTTCTCTAAATAAATAAATAATAATAATAATCTATCTGCTATCTTAATTCCTCTTTGCCATTTAACATGACATATTCAGAGTTTCTGGGGATTAGAATGTGGACCTCTTGATGAGAAAGGACATTATTCTACCATATTGCCACAGTTTTGACTCAATTATTTCTCCAAGGATTGCTGTTTCCTTTTATTGGAGAATTGTCTCTGCAATCAAGATTTGGGCACTGGGTGTGCCCATTGGTATTGGGGTATAGTTTCTTTTAGGCCCTCTCAAATGAAAAAGAAAATATATATATGTACACTATTCCATGGATACATATAGAAATCCCTATTTCTACATGTATCCATTTGTATTTATATTAAGCTAAATATGAGTTATTGATATCTTCACCTCTAATATAGCGTCTGTCATTAAAAAAAAATGTAGGGTGGGTGAAGTGGCTCATGCCTGTAATCCCAGGACTTTGGGAGACTGAGGCAGGTGGATCATGTGAGGTCAGGAGTTCGACACCAGCCTGGCCAACATGGTGAAACCCTGTCTCTACTAAAAATACAAAAAATTAACCAGGCGTGGTGGCATGCGCCTGTAATCCCAGCTACTCGGGAGGCTGAGAGAGGAGAATCACGTGAGCCTGGGTGGCAGAGGTTGCAGTGAGCTGAGATCATGCCACTGCACTCCAGCCTCAGTGACAAGCAAGACTCCGTCTAAAAAAAAAAAAAAAATCTAGCCCTAGGCACTGTAAGCATAAGTTACCCTAAAGCATCCTGACTAAGTGGTCACTTTAGTTCATTCCTTTATTTATTGTACATAGTACCACAAGACCAGTTTTTCTTACAGACTGCTTTTTTATCAGGTAACCATGTTTAAAAACACCCAACAGGATTCTATTCAATAACAATTTGTCCATAGTTTAGGCAAAAATCTTTGCCTTATAAAGCTTTCTATAATCAGTGTCCATACTAACCATCCAACTTTACTTTCCAGAATTTCCTAGGATAGCCACTGACTTCTCATAACTCCTCATGGCTTCGCGTGTTAATCAGGTTAGCTTCATGGTCCTTCAAAAATGCACCATTTTAGGTTTTACATGGTATCTTTGCTTTTGTAAATATTTCTTCACTAAAACTTCATTTGTGTTCAATTCCACTTACCATTGAAAATCCACTTTTTCCAACTATCATTAATGTATTCCAGCTGACATTAATTTTTCTCTCTTTTAGATCCTATAGTACTTGAATAAAGAATAAAGAACCTATATCTTATACTGTAAAATTTAATAATCATTGTAAGGAGTGTTCAGTGTTCAGTATACATCACTGAAGAAGTTAACGTATTTAACTATTTCTTAACTTTCCCAGCTTTGTAGGTCTTCCAAACAGAAGCCTGACTATCTTGTCCCTCTTTTTTTTTTTTTTTTGCCTACATTATAAAGGTAAGAAATTTATCTTTCCTTTAAAATATCTTCAATTTTTTTTTAAACTGCTCGAGACCAGTTGTTTTCCAATGTTAGAGTACAAAAGATTCACCCGGGAAATTGATAAGAAGGCACATTCCTTGATCTTATATTCAGAGATTTTGATTTGATGCATATTTTTAGTTTCTTATTGCTGTTTTAATGAATTACCAGAAACTTAGTGGCTTAAATAACACAAATTTATTACCTTACATTTCTGTAGTTAGAAGTTCGAACGGGTCTCATTGGGTTAAAATCACGGTGTCAGGAATGCTGTGTTCCTTTCTGAAGGCTCTAGAGGAGAACCGCTTTTCTTGCTTCCAGAGGGCACCCACATTCTTTGGCTCATGGGTCTCGTTCTCCTTGAAAGCCACCACATGGCATCTCTGTGCCTTTCTTCTGTAGCCACACTTTCCTCTGACTGTTTCTCCTCTTCTGCCTCCTATTCTACTTTAAGGACCCTTCTGATTACATTGGATCCATCTGGATAACCTAGGTGAATCTCCTTAATTTATTTAGTTATTTTTTGTAGAAGGGTCTCACAATGTTGCCCATGCTGGTCTCTAACTCCTAGGCTCCAGTGATCTTCCTGCCTCCGCATCCCAAAGGGTTGGGATTGCAGGTGTGAGCCACTGTGCCCAGCTTTAATCTCCCTATTTTAAGGCCAGCCGATTAGCAATCTTTATTCCATCCACAACTTTAATTCTCCTTTGCCAGGTAACACAACATAGGCTGTGGTTTTGGGGATTAGGATGTGGACATATTTGAGGGTCATTATTCTATTACAGTAGCACTGGGGTGGTGGAGCCCAGGAAATTACCCTTTTAACAGTCATTCCAGCTGATTCTAATGAAAACAATCATGACAACACAATTTGAGAAACACTCCTTTGGTTATTTACGCATAACAGCTATATTTATTCAACTTTGGAATTCAAACAAACACAGAGGTGGTTTAAGACTTTTTAAACAGAAGATTTAGTACAAAGAGAAAAGTAAAATCAGACTCTGATAAACACGGTTATCTACAAAGACCTGTTTACACAGAAAGAAGAGACACTGGCCGATTTCTTGATCTTTCCCTGTTTTATTCTGAAAACAGCCTGAAAACCAAATATTAGGAATAACACCTATAATATAACTTAAGTTATGACATTAAATTTTACTTGGTTTTAAAAGTATACTTGGCTAAAAGTTCTTTATTGCTTGGTCCATTTTATACAGACACACACACACACACACACACACTATATATATATAAAACATTCAAACAACATCCTAATCCTAAAGCACTCTTTTCTTTCTTTTTCCAGTTTTTTTTTTTTTTTTTGAGATGGAGTCTTGCCCTGTCCCAGGCTGTAGTGCAGTGGCTTGATCTCGGCTCACTGCAACCTCTGCCTCCCGGGTTCAAGCTATTCTCCTGCCTCAGCCTCCTGAGTGGCTGGGATTACAGGTACCTGCTACCATACCCAGCTAATTTTTGTATTTTTAGTAGAGATGGGGTTTCACCATGTTGGCCAGGCTGGTCTCAAACTCCTGACCTCATGATCCACCCGCCTCAGCCTTCCAAAGTTCTGGGATTACAGGCGTGAGCCACCCCGCCCGGCCTAAAGCACTCTTTTCTATCTCTCCAAACCAGCAACTAAGCTGAACTATGCTAGGAATAGTCTATATTTCCTTTACTTTTCTTATTGAAAAGATTCAGTTTGCTGAGATTTATATTATATATAAGAATAAATTCAGCTATTTTATTAAGTACTTAAGTCTAGCTTAAAAGTATTTTGAAACATCATCTACTTTTGCATAGCCTTTTTATTGGTTTATTGCTCATAAATCATATTTTCTCAAAGCTCAAGAAAAATTACTTCAAAAAATCTGGATTCTGGGCATGGTGGCTCATGCCTGTAATCCCAGCACTTTGGGAGGCCGAGGCTGGTGGATCACTTGAGGTCAGGAGTTTGAGACCAGCTTGGCCAACATGGTGAAACTCCGTCTCTTCTAAAAATACAACAATTAGGCCAGGCGCGGTGGCTCACACCTATAATCCCAGCACTTTGGGAGGCCGAGTTCGGTGGATCATGACGTCAGGAGTTTGAGACCAGCCTGGCCAAGATGGGGAAACCCCATCTCTACTAAAAATACAAAAATTATCCAGGCGCGATGGCGGGCACCTGTAACCCCACCTACAGGGAGACTGAGGCAGGAGAATCGCTTGAACCTGGGAGGCGGAGGTTGCAGTGAGCCGAGATCACGCCACTGCATTCTAGCCTGAACGACAGAGCAAGACTCTGTCTCAAAAAAACAAAAACAAAAAACACAAATTTAAATTTAGCCAGGCATTGTGGTGGGCACCTGTAATCCCAGCTACTCGGGAGGCTGAGGCAGGAGAATCGCTTGAACCCGGGAGGTGAAGGTTGCAGTGAGCCGAGATTGCGCCACTGCACTCCAACCTGGGTGACAGGGCAAGACTCCGTCTCAAGAAAAAAAAAAAAAAAAAAAAATTGAAAAATGGGTTTCATCAGTTTAGTTCCTCCTGTTCTTTAAATCATAAAATATTTAAACCTAACTGTATGCTTTATTTTTTAAAAGTACTTTTTAGAGCTCAAGTTTAGCAGAGCTATTTACAGTATTATTGTGAGAGAATAGAGAAGAAAGAACTTTAGAGAATGATTAAAATTTTAATCAGTGAACAAATGAATTAAACCAATATTTAGTCAAATCCAACTAACCTGAAATGTTAACTCAATTGAACTCTCATAACAATTCATAAATAAAGTATGATTATCCCTTATTTCTTAGAGAGGAAACAGGCTGTGTTGAGTGATTTCGCCCAGGCTTCATAGCTGTTAAGCAGTGAAGTTAAGTAACTATTCAAACTTGAGTCTCTGACTCAAAGGTAAATGCTCTTCATAGTATAATCAGGCTTCTATATGCTTAACTCATTCGGCTTATTATTATTATTTTTTTTTGGTAGGGAGACACTCACTAACCCACAAGGGTAGAAGGCAGGCATGAGGTGGGGAAAGGTTGACCAGTGTTGGCCCTGGAGGTAGAAGGCAATGTCTTCCAGGGTTGGCTTGATTACATGTTGAACCAAAGAGCTGATTTCTGCAATTTAGTAATCAGTCAAGGGTTAGTATTAGAGTGTGTCTTTGTTTTGTGTTACTGTAACATAATACTGGAAACAATAATTTACAAAGAATAGAGATTTAATTCTCACTATTCTGGAGGCTACGAAGTTCATGATTAAGGCACTGGTATCTAGTGAGGGTCTTCTTTCTGTATCTTAACATCGTAGAAGGCTTAGGGCACAAGAAGGATGAATTTCCTCCATCAAACCCCTTTATAATGGCATTCATCCATTCATAACGGTGAAACCCTTATGACATAAATACTTCCCCCAAAGCCCCACCTCCTAATACTGCTAGATTGGGGATTAAGTTTCCAACATGAATTTAGGGGGATATATTAGACCATAGCAGGGTGTCTAGTCCATAATTTCAAATAATTCAGTATCCTTCAAGTCACTGAAATGAAATGTCCTCTATATGTAGTAATTATTTTTCCATATGAAATCATTTTGGGTAATCAGATAATTCAGTTGTTGAGACATATTTTTATTCTATCTCATCATTGAAGAGCTTGCACTACTCTCAGCTGTACAACATGGAGCCAAGCAGAGGCCAGACCCTGAGAGCATAGAGTGTGAATGTTTTTCTATACCTGATCATAGCCTGGTCAGTAATCATCACCCCACCACAATGAGATCCCTGGACATGGGTCACCAATGCTAGATGCTTTGAAAGACAAAAATCAATTAATATAAGACCTAACTCCTAACAAAAGATACGGATAATCACAAGTCAGATGGCTTTGATTCCTAAATTCATCTCGGGTTGTAATTAAAAGACTTTTAAATTAGCACTAAATTATTCAAATCAAGTAATTAATCTGGTTTTTTAGACTTGAAATTCAATCAGCATTTCCTATGAAATTTAAAATTAAAAACTTTTTTTTTTGAGGTGGAGTCTTGCTCTGTCACCCAGTTGGAGTGCAGTGGCGTGATCTCGGCTCACTGCATGCTCAGCCTCCTGGGTTCACGCCATTCTCCTGCCTCAGCCTCCCAAGTAGCTGGGACTACAAGGCGCCTGCCACCACGCCCAGCTAATTTTATTTTTTGTATTTTTAATAGAGACAGGGTTTCACCGTGTTAGCCAAGATGGTCTCGATCTCCTTACTTCGTGATCCGCCTGCCTGGGCCTCCCAAAGTGCTGGGATTACAGGCATGAGCCACTGCGCCCAGCCAAAAACATTTTTAATAGAAATTTAAATATAACTACCAGTAAAATGTTGTATGACTCAGTTTACTACTCCATGTGATACCACTGAGCAGTGTTTCCAGAAATGTGTCACCACTGGCAATACCTGAGATAACATTAGGAAGCATGAGACATGATTTCATGTTCATGGATATGGCATTAATTAGCATTGAATCACATAACGACAAAGTTATTTCCTCCTAAACAACATTTAATCTTTGTGATTATCTCAAGGAGGACCTCTCAGTTTGGTGTTGTCTCTAAATTTCTCTAATTTTTCATTTTGCCAAGGTAGAGCAGACCCCTGTAAAAAGTTTTCATCAGGAAATATACTACTAGAATATATTACCATGTTTTATTATTTTTACTCTGTCGTGTTTATATTTACTGTTACTTTCCATTCATGGCAAATAATTTGGTTTTTCTATTTGCGGTAGTGATATAAAATTTTTCTTGAGGTGTCTGGAAAGATGGCTGAATAGGAACAGCTCTGCTCTGCAGCTCCCAGCGAGATCAACGCAGAAGGAGATAATTTCTGCATTTCCAACTAAAGTACCCAGCTCATCTCATTGGGACTGGTTAGACAGTGGGTGCAGCCCACAGAAGGCAAGCAGAAGCAGGGTGGGGTGTTGCCTCACCCGGGAAGCGCAAGGGGTCAGGGAACTCCCTCCCCTAGCCAAGGGAAGCTGTGAGGGACTGTGCCGTGAGGAACGGGGCATTCCGGCACAGATACTATGCTTTCCCCACGGTCTTTGCAACCCACAGACCAGGAGATTCCCTTGGGTGCCTGCACCACCAGGGCCCTGGGTTTCAAGCAAAAAACTGGGCAGCCATTTGGGCAGACACTGAGCTAGCAGCAGGAGTTTTTTTCATACCCTAGTAGCCCCTAGAATGCCAGCGAGACAGAACTGTTCACTCCCCTGGAAAGGGGCACTGAAGCCAGGGAGCCAAGTGGTCTAGCTCAGCAGATCCCACCCCCACGGAGCCCAACAAGCTAAGACCCACTGGGTTGAAATTCTCGCTGCCAGCACAGCAGTCTGATGTCCACCTGGAATGCTTGAGCTTGGTGCAGGGAGGGGCGTCTGCCATTACTGAGGCTTGATTAGGCAGTTTCCCCCTCACAGTGTAAACAAAGCTGCTGGGAAGTTTGAACTGGGTGGAGCCCACTGCAGCTCGGCAAAGTTGCTGTAGCAAGAGTGTCTCTCTAGATTCCTCCTCTCTGAGCAGGGCATCTCTGAAACAAAGGCAGCAGCCCCAGTCAGGGACTTATAGATAAAACTCCCATCTCCCTGGGACAGAGCACCTGGGGGAAGGGGCAGCTGTGGGCACAGCTTCAGGACACTTAAACGTTCCTGCCTGCTGGCTCTGAAGAGAGCAGCAGATCTCCCAGCACAGTGCTCAAGTTCTGCTAAGGGACAGACTGCCTCCTCAAGTGGGTCCCTGACCCCTGTGCCTCCGGAGTGGGAGAGACCTTCCAGCAGGGGTCAACAGACATCTGGTGGGTGCCCGTCTGAGACGAAGCTTCCAGAGGAAGGAACAGGCAGCAATCTGTGCTGTTCTGTAGCCTGCGCTGGTGATACCCAGGTAAACAGGGTCTGGAGTGGATCTCCAACAAACTCCAGCAGACCTGCAGCAGAGGGGCCTGACTGTTATAAGGAAAACTAACAAACAGAAAGGAATAGCGTCAACATCAACAAAAAGGACATCCACACAAAAACCCCATCCGAAGGTCACCAGCATCAAAGACCAAAGGTAGATAAATCCATGAAGATGAGGAAAAACCAGTGCAAAAAGGCTGAAAATTCCAAAAACCAGAACACCTTTTCTCCTGCAAAGGATCACAACTCCTTGCCAGCAAGAGAACAAAACTGGATGGAGAATGAGTTTGACGAATTTACAGAAGGAGGCTTCAGAAGGTGGGTAATAACAAACTCCTCTGAGCTAAAGGAGCATGTTCTAACCCAATGCAAGGAAGCTAAAAATGAAAAAAGGCTGGAGGAATTGCTAACTAGAATAACCACTTTAGAGAAGAACATAAATGATCTGATGGAGCTGAAAAACACAGCACGAGACCTTCGTGAAGCATACAGAAGTATCAATAGCTGAATCGATCAAGCAGAAGAAAGGATATCAGAGATTGAAGATCAACTTAATGACATAAAGTGTGACGTCAAGATTAGAGAAAAAAAGAATGAAAAGGAACGAACAAAGCCTCCAAGAAATATGGGACTATGTGAAAAGACCAAACCTATGTTTAATTGATGTACCTGAAAGTGCTGGGGAGAATAGAACCAAGTTTGAAAACACTCTTAGGATATTATCCAGGAGAACTTCCCCAACCTAGCAAGACAGGCCAATATTCAAATCAGTAAATACAGAGAACACCACAAAGATACTCCTCGAGAAGAGCAACCCCAAGACACATAATCATCAGATTCACCAAGGATGAAATGAAGAAAAAAATGTTAAGGGCAGCCAGAGAGAAAGGTCGGTTTACTCACAAAGGGAAGCCCATTAAACTAATAGCAGATTTGTCTGCTGAAACCCTACAAGCCAGAATAGAGTGGGGGGCCAATATTTAACATTCTTAAAGAAAAGAATTTTCAGCCCAGAATTTCATATCCAGCCAAACTAAGCTTCATTAGCAAAGAAGAAATAAAATCCTGAGAGACAAGCAAATGCTGAGCGATTTTGTCACCACCAGGCCTGCCTTACAAGAGCTCCAGAAGGCAGCACTAAACACATAAAGGAAAAACCAGTACCAGCCACTGCAAAAACATAACAAACTATAAAGACCACCGACACTATGAAGAAACTGCATCAACTAACAGGCAAAATAACCAACTAGCATCATAATGACAGGATCAGATTAACACATAACAATATTAACCTTAAATGCAAACGGGCTAAATGCCACAATTAAAAGACACAGACTGGCAAATTGGATAGAGTCAAAATCCATCATTGTGCTGTATTCAGGAGACCCATCTCACGTGCAAAGACACACATAGGCTCAAAATAAAGGGATGGAGGAATATTTACCAAGCAAATGGAAAGGAAAAGAAAAAAAGCAGGGGTTGCAATCCTAGTCTCTCATAAAACAGACTTTAAACCAACAAAGATAAAAAAAGACAAAGAAGGGCATTACATAATGGTAAAGGGATGAATGCAACAAGCAGAGCTAACTATTCTACATATATATGCACCCAATACAGGAGCACCCAGATTCATAAAGCAAGTTCTTAGAGACCTACAAAGAGACTTAGACTCTCACACAATAATAATGGGAGACTTTGACACTCCACTGTCAATATTAGACAGAACAATGAGACAGAAAATTAACAAGAATATTCAGGACTTAAACTCAGCTCTGGACCAAGCAGACCTACAGAACTCAGAACTTGAACTCAGCTTTGGACCAAGCAGACATCTACACAACTCTCCACTTCAAATCAACAGAATATACATTCTTAGCAGCACCACATCGCACTTATTCTAAAATTGACCACATAATTGGAAGTAAAACACTACACACCGAATGCAAAAGAACGGAAATCACAACAGTCTCTCAGACCACAGTGCAATCAAATTAGAACTCAGGATTAAGAAACTTACTCAAAACCGCACAACTACATGGAAACTGAACAACCTGCTCCTGAATGACTACTGGGTAAATAACGAAATTAAGGCAGAAATAAATAAGTTTTTTGAAACCAATGAGAACAAAGACACAATGTACCAGAATCTGTGGGACACAGCTAAAGCAATGTTTGGAGAGAAATGTATAGCACTAAATGCCCACAGGAGAAAGCAGGAAAGATCTAAAGTCAACACCCTAACATCACAATTAAAAGAACTAGAGAAGCAAGAGCAAACAAATTCAAAAGCTACCAGAAGACAAGAAATAACTAAGATCAGAGCAGAACTGAAGGAGATAGAGACATGAAAAACCCTTCAAAAAAATCAATGAATCCAGGACCTGGTTTTTTGAAGAGATTAACAAAATAGATAGATCACTAGCCAGAATAATAAAAAAGAAAAGAAAGAAGAATCAAATAGACACAATAAAAAATGATAAAGAGGATATCACCATTGATCCCACAGAAAAACAACCTACCATCAGAGAATACTATAAACACCTCTATGCAAATAAACTAGAAAATCTAGAAGAAATGGACAAATTCCTGGACACATACACCCTTCCAAGGCTAAACCAGGAAGAAGTCAAATCCCTGAATAGACCAATAATAAATTCTGAAATTGAGGCACAAAAAAATAAAATTTCAGGCCAATATCCCTCATAAAGATCGATGCAAAAATCTTCATTAAAATACTGGCAAACAGAATCCAGCAGCACATCAAAAAGCTTATCCACCACGATCAAGTTGACTTCATCCCTGGGATGCAAGGCTGGTTCAACATATGCAAAATAATAAACATAATCCATCACATAAACAGAACCAATGACAAAAACCACATGATTGATTATCTCAAGAGATGCAGAAAAGGCCTTTGATAAAATTCAACACCCCTTCATGCTAAAAGCTCTCAATAAACTAGGTGTTGATGGAACATATCTCAAAATAATAAGGGCTATTTATGACAAACCCACAGCTAATATCATATAGAATGGGCAAAAACTGGAAGCATTCTCTTTGAAAACCGGCACAAGACAAGGATGCCCTCTCTCACCACTCCTATTCAACATAGTATTGGACGTTCTGGCCAGGGCAATCAGGCAAGAGAAAGAAAGAAAGAGTATTCAAATAGGAAGAGAGGAAGTCAAATTGTCCCTGTTTGCAGATGACATGATTGTATATTTAGAAAACCCCATCGTCTCAGCCCAAAATCTCCTTAAGCTGATAAGCAACTTCAGCAAAGTCTCAGGATACAAAATCAATGTGCAAAAATCACAAGCATTCCTATACACCAAGAATAGACAAGCAGAGAGACAAATCATGAGTGAACTCCCATTCACAACTGCTACAAAGATAATAAAATACCCAGGAATACAACTCACAAGGGATGTGAAGAACTACAAACAACTGCTCAAGGAAATAAGAGAGTACACAAACAAATGGAAAAACATTCCATGCTCATGGATAGGAAAAATCAATATCATGAAAATGGCCATACTGCCCAAAGTTATTTATAGATTCAATGCTATCCCCATCAAGCCATGATTGACATTCCTCACAGAATTAGAAAAAACTACTTTAAATTTCATATGGAACCAAAAAAGAGTCCAAATAGCCAAGACAATCCTAAGCAAAAGGAACAAAACTGGAGGCATCATGCTACCTGACTTCAAACTATACCACAAGGCTACAGTAACCAAAACAGCATGGTACTGGTACCAAAACAGATATATAGACCAATGGAACAGAACAGATGCATCAGAAATAATGCTGCACATCCACAACCATCTGATCTTTGATAAATCTGACAAAAACAAGAAATGGGGAAAGGATTCCCTATTTAATAAATGGTGTTGGGAAAACTGGCTAGCCATATGCAGAAAACTGAAACTGGACCCCTTTCTTACAACTTATACAAAAATTAACTCAAGATGGATTAAAGACTTAAATTTAAGACCTAAAACTATAAAAACCTAGAAGAAAACCTAGGCAATGCCATTCAGGACATAGGCATGGGCAAAGACTTCATGACTAAAATGCCAAAAGCAATGGCAACAAAAGCCAGTAGTGACAAAAGGGATCTAATTAAACTAAAGAGCTTCTGCACAGCAAAAGAAACTATCATCAGAGTGAACAGGAAACCTACAGAATGGAAGAGAATTTTCTATCCAGCTGACAAAGGGCTAATATCCAGAATCTACAAGGAACTTAAACACATTTACAAGAAGAAAAACAACCCCATCAAAACATGAGTGAAGGATATGAACAGACACTTCTCAAAAGAAGACATTTATGTGGCCAACAAATATATGAAAAAACACCTTATCAACACTGGTTATTAGAGAAATGCAAATCAAAAACCACAATGAGATACCATCTCACGCCAGTTAGATGGCAATCATTAAAAAGTCAGGAAACAACAGATGCTGGAGAGGATGTGGAGAAACAGGAATGCTTTTACTCTTTTGGTGGGAGTGTAAATTAGTTCAACCATTGTGGAAGACAGTGTGGCGATTCCTCAAAGATCTAGAACCAGAAATACCATTTGACCCAGCAATCCCATTACTGGGTATATACCCAAAGGATTATAAATAATTCTACTATAAAGACACATGCACACGTATGTTTATTACAGCACTATTTGCAATAACAAAGACTTGAAACCAACCAGTTTATCAATGATAAACTGGATAAAGAAAATGTGGCACATATACACCATGGAATACTATGCAGCCATAAAAAAGGATGAGTTCTTGTCCTTTGCAGGGACATGGATGAAGTTGGAAACCATCACTCTCAGCAAACTAACACAGGAACAGAAAACCAAACGCTGCATGTTCTCACTTATAAGTGGGAGTTGAACAATGAGAACACATGGACACAGGGAGGGGAAGATCACACACCAGGGCCTGTTGCTGGGTGGGGGCAAAGGGAGGGATAGCATTCAGAGAAATACCTAATGTAGATGGTTGACAGGTGCAGCAAACCACCATGGCACATGTATACCTATGTAACAAACCTGCATGTTCTGCACATGTATCCCAGAATTTAAAGTATAATAAAAATTATTTTTCTTTATGTAAATGTATTAAGTAAAAACTGAATCAATTTCAGAAAAAGATGATAGTATTGGTGATACTAAGACGAGGCAAAAAGTGAAGAGGAGACAGAAATGACTGAGGATTGGCAAACATTGGCATAGAATAATAAGAAACTTGACCTAGTTGTCTGAAGGAGATTCTGGCAACTAACTTATTAGCTAACCTTGGGCCCATCACTAAATGATTCTGGTTTCAGTTTTCATATCCTCTAATTGAACAGTTTGAGCTAGATAATCTCTAAGATATTTTTTAGGAATAAACTGCAGAATATAATTATAATGTTAATAAAGATGAAGGTGAGGGTAAGATTAAGATAAATTTTACTGGCTGGAAATATGTCTTCAGGCCAATTAGATTTTGTGCCTTTGATTTTCAGGTGAGTCTCTCCAGAGGCACAGTGATCAAGTCAGCTAAATTTATTATTTGTGTATTCCCTCTCTCTTTTTATGACTTTTCCTTCTCCTTGGTCTCTTCTAAGTAGCCAATTTCTGCTTGATTCTCCAGTCTACCCAGAGAACTCTGAGGCCCCAACAGTCATCCCAATCTGAGGTTTCTAGGGTGGGTCTAACTTCTGTCTTTCTTACTGTTCTTTCTAATCAGAGTGCACCTATATTGGTGAACTGGCACTATTGGGACTATTTCTGCCCCCATACCTCCATGTTTTTTTGTTTAGTTTTGTTTTTAAAGGAATCCTCTATGTTCCAAGCCTAATCCTGAGGCAGTCCCATCACAGCCTCCAGGTATGGGATGGCAAAATATTTGCCAGAAATTCCCCCTGATAATTTTGGCATTCAGTCAGGTTGTGCCTCTGAAAGACTCACTATACAATGTAAAGTAAGCCCATTTTCCATTCACATATTTAACTGTACTTTTCTCTTCTACATTTTTAGTCAAAGATTGATTTTTGGTACAGGTATTCATACAAATTCAGTCCACTTTCGACTGAGATCAATGTGGGTTTCCCAACTACATTTTTTTTTTCATCTAGCTATGCTATATGTGATTTTGTTTCTACCACATTAGAGAGTTTTTATTTCTTCTTGGTTGGCTGGCTTCCCAGTAGATCCAGATATTGAAAAACAGGTTAGATTAGTTTAGTCCATGTCTGTCAAGCTCAAGTTCTTGAGGTGGAGGAAATGATTTAAATAAATCTCACTCATTTTGAAACAGCTCTATCAAAGGCTGTCTACAGAATAAGGCCTGTCGATTTCAAAATTACTATCATAAATGAATACCATGGCAGTCTGCTGCCAAATTTTAAAATTTCCTTTAGGTGTCTGTTTGCCAAATCTAAATACCAGCCTTTCATCACCATTTAATTAAAAAAATCTAGAATATGAAAATTCAATGAGAACTATTTCTGCTTATTTGTCTATATGAGTGCTTTTATTTATATTTAAGAAAAATATTGCAAGTATAAATCACCCAAAATACACAATTTGTATGAGGATCACCTCCAAAAGGCACTGGCTGTGGAAAAAGTAGTCTCTTTCCCTTTTATATATTATGTGATGCTAACGTTAATTGTTCTTCAATTATAGCTGGACTAGCAAAGCAAGTGTGCTAAGGTAGGTATGAGGAAAAGTGGAATTTGGGAGACTTGTTATACTCAGTTACGATGGGTTTAAATCTGGTTTATAGTTGCTATTATAATTATTTTCTTTTTTTTTAAATTTTAGCCCATTGGTCATAGAAAAGGATTATCTGGGATTGTTTGGCTAACTCAGAGAATTCAAGAGAAGGTTAGGAAGTTTATTTTCCTCCAAGTACATTAATAATAAAATAACAATGACTAAGGGCTTAGTTATGATTATCTGTGCTTTCAGTCCCATTTCTCTTTTGGATGAATGTGAAGCAAAGTTAAAGTAGAAAGCCAAGAAAAGAGCTAACCTCTATCTAGCTCAGATCCTAATTTTTTTTTTTAAAATTCAAGTCATTTATTTGCTCCAGTTAGCTGAATTATATACTGTGCTACAGACCTTATACTCTGACTTCTGGGCTTGGTTCTGTGAGCCTGGGAGGCTGAATAGAAATTAGTAAGTTTGGCGTTTTGGGGGACAAATGATACAGAGATTCAAAATGCACATCCTAAATACCGTCTTGGTCAGGTCACTTCACCTCCCTTAGTCTCAGTTTTCTCATTAGTAAAATAGGAAAATAATACTTCCCTGTAGGGGGTGCTTAGTGTAAAGATTAAAGTTGATTTATATGAAATGCATGATGCTTGGCAATGTCAATGTTTAAAAAATGTTCGTTGTAATAATTCATGTAAGTAACAGTAAGCTATAAGTATAGCCTGTATTATTTGTAGATGTTGGCTGTAATAATTATCATTGTTCAAATCAAAGCCAATTCCTAGTTCTTAGCCTTATGGTAGGACATTTTTCTCTGCTACTGTAATAGTGTTGGAACCATAAACCTTCCTTTTAATTATATGTTATGCAAGTGGAACAATTAGTAATGGCTTTATAAAGATTACAAATCTACTTATAAAATAAATCAACCACATAGGAATACCTTCATTATCCATTTTCTTACACTGGGACCTAATTACTTTTAAGGCTCCTAATATAATTTCAGCTCTATGAAAACCAACTAACAACTTCTAATAATGCATTTGATTCACAGTTGTTGATTTGCATTACCATGAATAGTTAATAAATAGAACAGAAAGCTTTCTCTTCTTAGGACTTATTAGTCTCCTTGATTCATAATTATTAATGGTCCATAGAATACAATGTATAGTTTAATTACAAGATGTCATAATCACAGTCCTAAGATCTTATGATAAAGATAATAAAGGAAACTGCAAGACTGATTCCACTGAATTGCATAATGCTACCATGAAAGCTCCACAAAGGTAGGGATCTCTGTTTTGTTAACTTCTGTAGTCCCAGGGCTTAAAACAATTACTGGCATGGAATAAGCATTGAATAAATATTTGTTGAATAACTGAGCTAGACTAATTATGATATCAAGAAGCAGGGTTTTTTTAAATAAATATTTTATGTTTAAGTTTTGTGTCTGAAAGCCACGCCAGATAATACATAAACTTGATATTAACACTTAAAGAATCATAAAATGCACCTTTGTGACTAATTCAAAAAACTCCTAGATCTGATGAATGAATTCGGTAAAGTCTCAGGATAGAAAATCAATGTGCACAAATCAGTAGCACTGCTTTACACCAACAATGACCAAGCTGAGATTCAAATAGAAAACTCAATCCCTTTTACAACAGCTGCAAAAACATAAAATAAAATACCTAGGAATATACTTAACTAAGGAGGTGAAATATCTCTCTGCAAGGAAAACTACAAAACACTGCTGAAAGAAATCATAGATGACCCAAACAAATGGAAACACATCTCATGCTCATGAACGGGAAGAATCAATACTGTGAAAATGACCATGCTGCCCCAAAGTAATCTATACATTCAGTGCAATTCCCATCAAAATACTATCATCATTCTTCACAGAACCAGAAAAACAATTCTAAAATTTATATGGAACCCCAAAAGAGCCCGCATAACCAAAGCAATACCAAGCAAAAAGAACAAATCTGGAGGCATCACATTACCCAACTTCAAATTATGCTACAAGTTACCAAAACAGCCTGGTACTGGCATGAAAATAGGCATGTAGACCAATGGAACAGAATAGTGAACCCAGAAATAAAGCCATATATGTACAGCCAACTGATCTTCAACAAAGCATAAAAAACATAAATTGGGGAAAGGACATCCTATTCAATAAATGGTGCTGGAAAAACCGGCAAGCCACACGTAGAAGAATGAAACTGTATCCCCATCCCTCACCTTATACAAAAATCAACTCAAAATGGATCAAAGACTAAAATCTAAGTACTGAAACCATAAAAATTCTAGAGGAAGACATTGAAAAAACTCTTCTAGACATTGGCTTAGGCAAAGAATTCATGACTAAGATCCCAAAAGAAAATGCAACAAAAACAAAAATAAATAAATGGAATCTAATTAAACTAAAAAAACTTCTGCACAGCAAAAGAAATAATCAGCAGAGTAAAAAGACAACCTACAGAGTGGGAGTATATATTCACAAACTATGCAACTGACAAAGGACTAATATCCAGAATCTACAAGGAACTCAAACAAATCAGCAGGAAAAAAAATAATCCCACGAAAAAGTGAGCAGAGGATATGAATAGATGATTCTCAAAAGAAGATATACAAATGGCCAACAAGTATATGGAAAAATGCTCAACACTAGGGAAATGCAACTTAAAACACAATGCGATACCACCTTACTGCTGCAAGAATGGTGATAATTTAAAAATCAAAAGACAATAGATGTTGGCATGGATGTGGTGAAAAGGGAACAGTTTTACATTGCTGGTGGGAATGTAAATTAGTACAACCACTATTGAAAAAATATGGAGATTCCTTAAAGAACTAAGTGTAGAACTACCATTGGATCCAGCAATCCCATTATTGGGTATCTACCTAAGGAAAAGAAGTCATTATATGAAAAAGACAGATACACGTGCATATTTATAGCAGCACAATAGGCAATTGCAAAGATATGAAACCAACATAAGTGCCCATCAACCAATGAGTGGATAAAGAAAATGTGGTATATATACACCATGGAATACTTCAGCCATATAAAGGAATAAAATAATGTCTTTTGCAGCAACATGGATGGAGCTGGATGCCATTATTCTAAGTGAAGTAATTCAGGAATGGAAACCCAAATATCGTATATTGTCACTTATAAGTGGGAGCTAAGCAATGAGGATGCAAAGGCATAGGAATGATACAATAGGCTTTGGGGATTTGGAGGGGTGGACCTTGGGAGGGAGGTGAGGGACAAAAGACTACCTATTGGGTACATTGTATACTGCTCAGGTGACAGGTGCCCTAAAATCTCAGAAATCGCTACTAAAGAGCTTATCCATCCATCACTTCACAGCCTTTTAGCTGAGATCAAGTGTAGAATTTATCCATCTAACTAAAAACCACCTGTACCCCAAAAACTATTGAAATGAAAATAAAAAGTAAAAAAAAATGCACCATTGTGAACCATTGTGATAAAAAGGCATTTTTTAAAAGTATGACTTTATCTACCTGAAATAAATTATAGCAGCATAGACTTTCTCAAGAGAAATAATAAAATATGAGTAATTTTAAAGTATTCAATTTAAATTTATTTTGGCATATGCTCTCTCTCTCTATATGTATATAAAATATACATGTATAAGTAGTATGTATTTGTGTAATGTGTATATGGAGAATATACAATATATGATATGTATCTACATATAGATATGTATATGTATGTATGTACATCTGTTCTTACATACACATACATATTAAATAGCTATGCATATTAGCCAGCTACTTCACGGTGTGAAGATAATCTCTAAATACGCATTTATTTGAAGTAATTTATCATTGTGCCTGGTATGTGGTAGATGCTCAATGAATATTTATTGACTAAACGTATCTGACTTAATAAAATGTTCTCCTATATGTGTGTATGCATTCTGTTCTTAATACATCTATTTATAATACATATGAATTTTGTAGTGTATTTGGAATACAGAGTAAATCAAATAATTTTACAAATAAAACTGAATATTCTGAAACACAGGATACATTATATTAACCAAATTATTTAAATCACTAGATTTTTTAGCCTCTAGGACCTAGAGTGTGAATTCATAAGTTTATTTTTGAGGATAAAATATGTAAATAAAAAACATATTAACTGTGTTAATTCTAAAAGCCAGTAAGAATCTCTTCATTTTAAATCACTGAATATAATTTAAGAGCATAATTTAATTGCTCATACATTTTATTTTTAGTTTTATTATTTATTTTATTGTTTTATTATTTATTATTATTTATTTTTATTTTCACTCCCTTATGAGTGAAAATACTCCTATTATTTTGTTCCAACATTAGGGAACAAATTTAGGTTCTTTTTATCTGAATATTTTGTTACAGCAATAGCATTCTAGAATCCTTGAAAACTTAGGTAGAGCAAGTAAAGACATTCAAGCTGTTTTTAATGTGTCTAGTTGGATTAAAGCAAATGACAGAATTAATTATTATCTTTTCTTTTTGGGGATGGGGCCCTGCAACTCTAAATGTTATATAATTTAGATCTAAATAAAACTATGCTTTTGATGTTCTCTGTAACTCTAGGTTAAGGAAATTGTTCCCTAAATGTAGCATTGCTCGGATTGACAGCTGCTGAAGTGAGAGAATTGCAGGTTTCTTAAACCTCCAGTAAGAGTAAAAAATTATGGAAAACAGAGGAAGATTACATTATAATCAGTTCTCTTTACCTTGCTGTGTCTCCCTTTCATAGAGTTAAAAGAAGCCAGGTGTGGTGGCTCACACCTGTAATCCCTGGACTTTGGGAGGCTGAGGCCAGAGAATCACCTGAGGTCAAGGGTTTGAAACCAGCGTGGCCAACATGACAAAAACCCATCTCTACTAAAATAGAAAAATTAGCCAGGAGTGATGGCGGGCACCTGTAATCCCAGCTACTTGGGAGGCTGATGGAGGAGAATCACCTGAACCCAGGAGGTGGAGGTTGCAGTGGGCCAAGATTGCACCACTGCACTCCTGTCTGGGCAACAGAGTGAGACTGTCAAAAAAAAAAAAAAAATTAGCTACTACTCTGGAGGAAAAAAAAAATCTATGTTTTTCAAATTTGGCAAGGTTTGTGTGTGTGTGTGTGTCTTGTATGTATCATGTATGCACACATATAAGAAGTTGGGGGTTATGTTTCTCCACACTACCCAAACCACAAAATAACTGTCATGGGCACTGACAATATTTCTCAGCATTTACATTAGAAAATGGTGGGACTGTTCTAACCTACACAGCACTGTCTTGGAATTTGGATTTATTGGTAGTCTGTTGTAGTCAACTCCTTCAGGATAGGAAGTCAGTTTTTTAAAACTGTGCTGTCACCTGATAGTCTATCGTTGTCCTGAGTCAAAAAAATCTGTTTGGCAGAAATTAATATGATGAGCTCCCAATTTAACCACAGGTTACAGTTCAAAAGTTTATGTGTGAGTTTGCTATCTGAACACGGAACAAACATCTTTCTCAGAGAGACAAGTTTTCTAATATCAAGACTGATAATAGAAGTGGTATGAAATTGGAGGTCTTTAGAGACAGATAGTTTAAGCATTTAAGATAACAGCATTAGGCCAGGTGTGATGGCTCACGCCTGTAATCCCAGCACTTATGGAGGCCGAGGTGGGCGGATCACAAGGTCAAGAGATTGAGACCATCCTGGCCAACATGGTGAAACCCTGTCTCTACTAAAAATACAAAAATTAGCTGGGTGTGGTGGCACACGCCTGTAGTCCCAGCTACTCGGGAGGCTGAGGCAGGAGAATTGCTTGAACCCAGGAGGCAGAGGTTGCAGTGAGCAGAGATTGTGCCACTGCACTCCAGCCTAGTAACAGAGTGAGACTCTGTCTCAAAAAAATAAAATAAAAATAACAGCATTAAATATTGGGCTGTCTTATGGATGATTGTGCGGTCATAAAACCTGAGCAAAGACTGGAGTGTTGAATTCATGGTCACACCTCCAGCAAGGTCAACTTTTACAAAGACTTTCCTCACAGAAAGATTAAAAAGTAGTTGACTGTCTATAGGGGCTGAATTTCATTGCAGTGTAGGAATCTTGTTCAGAGGAGAGGCTGGCGAGATGGACAAATAGGAACAGCTCTGGTCTTCAGCTCCCAGTGAGATCACTGCAGAAGGCAGGTAATTTCTGCATTTCCAACTGAGGATCACAACCCCTCACCAGCAAGGGAACAAAACGATGGAGAATGAGTTTGATGAATTGACAGAAGTAGGCTTCAGAAGCTGAGTAATAACAAACTCCTCTGAGCTAAAGGAGCGTGTTCTAACCCAATGCAAGGAAGCTAAGAACCTTGAAAAATGGCTAGAGGAATTGCTAACTAGGATAACCAGCTTAGAGAAGAATATAAATGACCTGATAGAGCTGAAAAACACAGCACGAGAACTTTGTGAAGCATACACAAATATCATAGCTGAATCAATCAAGCAGAAGAAAGGCTATCAGAGACTGAAAATCAACCTAATGAAATAAATCGAGAAGACAAGATTAGAGAGAAAAGAATGAAAAGGAATGAACAAAGCCTCCAAGAAATATGGGAGTACATGAAAAGACCAGATCTACGTTTGATTGGTGTACCTGAAACTGACGGGGAGAATGGAACCAAGTTGGAAAACACCCTTCAGGATATTATCCAGGAGAACTTCCCCAACCTAGCAAGACAGGCCAACATTCAAATTCAGGAAACACAGAGAACGCCACAAAGATACGCCTTGAGAAGAACAACTCCAAGACACATAATTGTCAGATTCACCAAGGTTGAAATGAAGGAAAAAATGTTAAGGGCAGCCAGAGAGAAAGGTCGGGTTACTCACAAAGGGAAGCCTTTCAGACAAACAGTGGATCGCTCTGCAGAAATCCTACAAGCCAGAAGAGAGTAGGGGCCAATATTCAACATTTTTAAAGAAAATAATTTTCAACCTAGAATTTCATATCCAGCCAAACTAAGCTTCATAAGCAAAGAAGAAATAAAATCCTTTACAGACAAGCAAATGCTGAGAGACTTTGTCCCCACCAGGCCTGTGTTACAAGAGCTCCTGAAGGAAGCACTAAACATGGAAAGGAAAAACTGGTATGAGCCACTACAAAAACATACCATATTGTAAAGACCGTCAACACTATGAAGAAACTGCATCAACTAACAGACAAAATAACCAGCTAGCATCATAATGACAGGATTAAATTCACACATAACAATATTAACCTTAAATGTAAATGGACTAAATGCCCCAATTAAAAGACACAGACGGGCAAACTGGATAAAGAGTCAAGACCTATCAGTGTGCTGTATTCAGGAGACACATCTCATGTGCAAAGGCACACATAGGCTCAAAATAAAGGGATGGAAGAATATTTACCAAGCAAATGGAAAGCAAAAAAAAGCAGGGGTTGCAATCCTAGTCTCTCATAAAACAGACTTTAAACCAACAAAAATCAAAAGAGACAAAGAAGGGCATTATATAATGGTAAAGGGATCAATGCAACAAGAAGAGCTAACTATCCTAAATGTATAGGCATCCAATACAAGAGCACCCAGATTCATAAAGCAAGTTCTTAGAGACCTACAAAGAGACTTAGACTCCCACACAATAATAATGGGAGACTTTAACACCCCACTGTCAATATTAGACAGATCGATGAGATAGAAAATTAAGAAGGATATTCAGGATTTGAACTCAGCTCTGGACCAAGTGGACCTAATAGACATCTACAGAACTCTCCACCCAAAATCAGCAGAATATACATTCCTAGCAGCACCACATCACACTTATTCTAAAATTGACCATAGAATTGGAAGTAAAACACTCCTCACCAAAGGCAAAAAATGGAAATAATAACAGTCTCTCAGATTACAGTGAAATCAAACTAGAACTCAGGATTAAGAAACTCACTCAAAACTGCACAACTACATGGAAACTGAACAACCTACTCCTGAACGACTACTGGGTAAATAATGAAATTAAGGCAGAAATAAATAAGCTCTTTGAAACCAATGAGAACAAAAACACAACATAACAGAATCTCTGGGACACATTTAAGGCAGTGTTTAGAGAGAAATTTATAGCACTAAATGCCCACAAGAGAAAGCAGGAAAGATCTAAAATCAACACCCTAACATTGCAATTAAAAGAACTAGAGAAGCAAGAGCAAACAAATTCAAAAGCTACCAGAAGACAAGAAATAACTAAGATCAGAGCAGAACTGAAGGAGATAGAGACACGAAAAGCCCTTCAAAACATCAATGAATCCAGGAGCTGATTTTTTGAAAAGATCAACAAAATAGATAGACCACTAGCCAGAATAAAAAAGAAGAAAAGAGAGAAGAATCAAATAGACACAGTACAAAATGATAAAAAGTATATCACCATTGATCCCACAGAAATACAAACTACCATCAGAGAATACTATAAACACCTCTATGCAAATAACTAGAAAATCTAGAAGAAATGGATAAATTCCTGGATGCATACACCCTCCCAAGTCTAAACCAAGAAGAAGTTGAGTCCCTGAACAGACCAATAACAAGTTCTGAAAGTGAGGCAGTAATTAATAGCCTACCAACCAAAAAAAGTCCAGGACCAGAGGGATTAACAGTTGAATTCTACCAGCGGTACAAAGAGGAGCTGGCACCATTCCTTCTGAAACTATTCCAAACAATAGAAAAAGAGGGACTCCTCCCTAACTCATTTTATGAGACCAGTATCAGCCTGATACCAAAACCTGGCAGACACACCACAAAAAAAAGAAAATTTCAGGCCAATATCCCTGATGAACATCGATGGGAAAATCCTCATTAAAATACTGGCAAAACAAATCCAGCAGCACATCAAAAAGCTTATCCACCAGATCAAGTCGGCTTCATCCCTGGGATGCAAGGCTGGTTCAACATATGCAAATCAGTAAACGTAATCCATCACATAAACAGAACCAATGACAAAAACCATGTGATTATCTCGATAGATGCAGAAAAGGCCTTTGAAAAAATTCAACAGCCCTTCATGCTAAAAACTCTCTATAAACTAGGTGTTGATGGAACGTATCTCAAAATAATAAGAGCTATTTATGACAAACCCACAGCTAATATCATTCTGAATGGTCAAAAACTGGAAGCATTCCCTTTGAAAACTGGCATAAGACAGGGATGCCCTCTCTCACCACTCCTATTCAACATAGTATTGGAAGTCCTGGCCAGGGCCATCAGGCCAAAGAAAGAAATAAAGCATATTCAAATAGGAAGAGAGGAAGTCAAATTGTTTCTGTTTGCAGATGACATGATTGTATATTTAGAAAACTCCATCGTCTCAGCCCAAAATCTCCTTAAGCTGATAAGCAACTTCAGCAGAATCTCAGGATACAAAATCAATGTGCAAAAATCACAAGCATTCCTATACACCAAGAATAGACAGACAGACAAATCATGAGTAAACTACCATTCACAATTGCTACAAAGAGAATAAAATACCTAGGAATATAACTTACAAGGGATGTGAAAGACCTCTTCAAGGAGAACTACAAACCACTACTCAAGGAAATAAGAGACGACACAAATAAATGGAAAAACATTCCACGCTCATGGATAGGAAGAATCAATATCGTGAAAATGGCCATACTTCCCAAATTTATTTACTTCCCAAAGATTCAATGCTATCCCCATCAAGCTACCACTGACATTCTTCAGATAATTGGAAAAAACTACTTTAAATTTCATATAGAACCAAAAAAGATCCCGCATAGCCAAGACAATACTAAGCAAAAAGAACAAAGCTCGAGTCATCATGCTACCTGACTTCAAACTATACCACAAAGTTACAGTAACCAAAAGAGCATGATACTGGTACCAAAACAGATATATAGACCAATGGAACGGAACAGAGGCCACAGAAATAACACCACACATCTACAACCATCTGATCTTTGACAAACCTGAGAAAAACAAGCAATGGGGAAAGGATTCCCTATTTAATAAATGGTGTTGGGAAAACTGGCTAGCCATATGCAGAAAACTGAAACAGGACCCCTTCCTTACAACTTACACAAAAATTAACTCAAGATGGATTAAAGACTTAAACCTAAGACCTAAAACCATAAAAACCCTAGAAGAAAACCTAGGCAATGCCATTCAGGAGATAGGCATGGGCTAAGACTTCATGACTAAAATGCCAAAAGCAATGGCAACAAAAGACAAAATTGACAAATGGGATCTAATTAAACTAAAGAGCTTCTGCACAGCAAAAGAAATTATCATCAAAGTGAACAAGTAACCTACAGAATGGGAGAAAATTTTTGCAATCTCTCCATCTGACAAAGGGCTGATATCTAGACTCTACAATGAACTCAAACAAATTTGCAAGAAAAAGCAAACAACCCCATCAAAACTGGGCAAAGTCTATAAATAGATACTTCTCAAAAGAAGACATTTATGTAGCCCGCAAACATATGAAAAAAAGCTCATCATTACTGGTCATTAGAAAAATGCAAATCAGAAACCACAATGACATATGAAAAAAAGCTTATCATTACTGGTCATTAGAGAAATGCAAATCAAAAACCACAATGAGATACCATCTCACACCAGTTAGAGTGGCAATCATTAAAAGTCAGGAAACAACAGATGCTGGAGAGGATGTGGAGAAATAGGAACGCTTTTAGCCTGTTGGTGGGAGTGTAAATTAGCTCAACCATAGTGGAAGACAGTGTGGCAATTCCTCAAGGATCTAGAACTAGAAATACCATTTGACCCAGCGATCCCATTACTGGGTATTTACCCAAAGATTATAAATCATTCTCCTATAATGACAGATGCACACGTATGTTTATTGCAGTACTATTCAGAATAGCAAAGACTTGGAACCAACCCAAATGCCCATCAATGATAGACTGGATAAAGAAAATGTGGCACATATACACCATGGAATACTATGCAGCCATAAAAAAGGATGAGTTCATGTCCTTTGCAGGGACATGGATGAAGCTGGAAACCTTCATTCTCAGCAAACTGACACAAGAACAGAAAACCAATCACTGCATGTTCTCAGTCCTAAGTGGGAGTTGAACAATGAGAATACATGGACACAGGGAGGGGAACATCACACACCATGGCCTGTCATGTGGTGGGGGGCTAGTGGTGGGATAGCATTAGGAGAAATACCTAATGTAGATGACAGGTTGATGGGTGCAGCAAACCACCATGGCACGTGTATACCTATTTAACAAAACTGCACATTCTGCACATGTACCCCAGAACTTAAAGAATAATAAAAACAAAAAGAATCTTGTTCATAATCCACATGTGGTCTCTACATTTCACCTTACTATTTAGCTCTCCTTTTAGTAGTATCACAAAAGATGTTTTTTACTAGGATATGAGTTTGTTTCCTTTAACTATTCTTCCTTAATTTTTTTTTCATATAGTAATAGGAATATTTCTGGATTTGTAAGCTCTCCGTTCCTCAGAGGATGTGTTGAAAAATCTATTGGAAGGTCAGGCATGGTGGCTATGCCTGTAATCTCAGCACTTTGGGAGGCCAAGATGGAAGATTGGCTTGAAGCCAGGAGTTCAAGGAAAATATATTGAAAACTACTAAAATTGCAACATTTTAACAGTTTGCATGCTTTGGTTACAGATTATTTTCCAAATAGTTTTTGTATCATCCCCTTTTGATGATCACTAGAAGATGCTAGAACTAAATGTCTTCGTTTACATTCATGACTTTATTTATTTATTTATTTTTTGAGATGGAATCTCGCCCTGTCTTGCCCAGGCTGGAGTGCAGTGGCATGATCTCAGTTCACTGCATCCTCCACCTCCCGGGTTCAAGCAATTCTCCTGCCTCAGTCTCCCAAGTAGCTGGGATTACAGGTGCGCACCACCACGCCCAGCTAATGTTTTGTAGTTTTAGTAGAGATGGCGTTTTACCATATTGGCCAGGCTGTTCTCAATCTCCTGACCCCAGGTGATCCACCCAACTTGGCCTCCCCAAAGTGCTGGGATTATAGGCGTGAGCCACCATGCCCGGCCGCAACTTTATTTATTAAGACTGTGTTCACTATAAACTTTAAGGGAGCTTGAGGACTTTAGGAAAAATACAGTTGGTCTTACGAGAAATGCTGAGGAATGCTTTGTGAATTTGTGTTCTATTTCGAGCAGTATGTTTTCTCAGAAGGATCCTTCCAACAGAGCATGTACTCCATGTTCTCCATATGGTGCACTGAAATTGTAGGGAATGTATATCTATCTATATATTCTGGATGTACATTTCCTTTATTCTTCAGTCCTTCTGGCAAAATCTTTATCTCAACAGGCTTAGGATGACATTTAGAGAAGTTTATACTTTCAAGTTTGTAATGAGTAGAAGAGAGGATTCTAAGTATAGTTTTTCTCAGGGCATTGTAATTGACCAAACTAGTAAAGTTATAGAACACCACTGAAGTATTTCATTAATAAGTTTATATGCAAGGTGATAGTGTGATATGTCACCTAGAATTCAAGATTTCAGTCTGAAGAAGGTAGCACATATTCCTCAAAAACCTGAGACAAGAAAACTGTTTTTGAGAATCTATGTAATATTCACAAAAATTATATACCAGGCCAGGGATGAAGCCTCCAAATGTTCTAAATATTAATATAAGACAGACTATGCTCTGTTACCATAATACAGGGTAATTAGAAACCAATAATGAATATTTTTAAAAACTCTACATAGCTTCACTATAAGCAATATTTTCTCCAGGCTGCAAATTCTGTTTAAGAAATTTAAGTCTGCAAAAATAAAAGGTTGGAACTGCATATATTATGAAAACCAAAACCAAATGACACTTAATAAGCATGTCCTTTAATAACACAGCAAGTTTATCAATAATCTAACAGTTGAGGTAATAGGTAGTAGTCATTTTTTTTTTTTTTTTTTTTTTGAGACAGGGTCTCACTCTATTGCCTACACTGGAGTGCAGTGGCACAATCATGGCTCATTGTAGCTTTGAACTCCTAGGCTCAGGCGATCCTTCAGCCTTAGCCAACTTAGTAGCTGGGACCGCAGGTGTGTGCCACCATGCCTGGCTAATTTTTTTATGGTGACTAGGGTCTTGCCATGTTGCCCAGTCTGGTCTTGAACTCCTGGGCTCAAGCAATCCTCCCACCTTGACCTCTCAAAGTGCTGGGATTATAAGTGTGAGCCACTTCACCCAGCCTAGATAATCTTATTAGGACAAATGCTTAGGACTACAAACAGGATTGTTCTATGTTATATTTCTGGGTCAGTATTTGGTGGGACCAATGAATTAGCTGATTTTTCATTTTTTCTTGTGTATTTTAGAATGTTTTTATAATTGGCAGATATTACTTTTAAGTGAAAAAGATAAAATCTCAAGGAAAGGCTGAGTGCGGTGGCTCACGTCTGTAATCCCTGCACTTTGGGAGGCCAAGGGGGGCATATCACTTGAGGTCAGGAGTTTGAGATCAGCCTGGCCAACGTGCTCAAACTCTGTCTCTAATAAAAATACAAAAATTAGCTGGGCATGGTGGCACGCACCTGTAATCCCAGCTACTTGAGAGGCTGAGGCAGGAAAATCGCTTGTACTCAGGAGGCGGAGGTTGCAGTGAGCCAGGATAGCACCACAGCACTCCAGCCTGGGCAACAGAGTAAGACTCTGCTGTGACACCACTACCAACAAAAAGACTCCCAAAAAACCTCAAGGAAAATAAAGAGTACACTCCTGGCAAGTAGCATTTTCTAAAGCTACTCTTGAAGAGTGGTCTATATTAGGAAAATCTAATTTCCTCAAGAAAGCAAAATCTTTTCTTGACTGAGTATTTCACAGAAAACAAAATACTGTGTGTGTGTGTGTGTGTGTGTGTGTGTGTATTTTATATATATATATAAAATATATATATATATATAGAGAGAGAGAGAGAGAGAGTGATAGAGAGAGAGAGTTTAGTAAGGAAAATATACTAAAAAAACCTCCTCAGATTCCTTAGAAAAGGATAAATTCAGTACTTTCTCAGAATTTACATTTTGTTAAGAGTAGCAACTAGGTTTATTTAAACTAAATTTAGTTAGTTTAAATAAACTCAACAGTCAGTGTGTAAGGCCTTGTAGCCAGCATCCTTGCTGCTTTGCCTATAGCCTCCTGGCCCACCCTGAAGGTCAGCTGTGGCTGGGGTGGGCAGTTGCAGTACTTGCCAACAGCTTTCTGCCTCAAGGACCTGTGTCTTTGCCTCAGGGTCTTCTCTGGATACTTGGAGAAATGCTTGGCCTGAGTATAGGACAGGCCAGAAGTGATTTGTATTAATCCTCTCAGGAGCAACCTTCAAACTAGGAGGGCAGAATTGAGGGATTTATGGCCCAGCTTCCTCATCTCAGAAGGACAATCTGAGGCATGTCCGCCATAGTTTCTCAGTGGGTCCTCAGCAGTACTGGGCCCAGTTGCCCATAGCAGAAGCCTGCTTCTGATTAATGTACCCTTTTCAACTTTCCTTCCTTTACTATGTCACTTCCTCACTCCTCACTTCCCAAACACTTATATCCAAATCCTGTGTCACAGTCTGCTTTCGACAGGGGAATACAATCTAAGGTTGCCTGCTAGAGACAGCTTCTTGAAACAAAGGCTATTTCGTGTTTACTCTGGAATTCCTGATACTTAACATGCCCCCAGCACATATAAAAATCAGATATTTTCCTAGGCCTCAATTAGATCTGAATAACAGCAGAGAAGACAGTCAAGAGTTCTACAGAATGAGGTATACTGGATTAATTTCTATAAGAGACGCAACAAAAGTGCTATAGCATGTAGTCACTAATTATAAATTAGGAGATTGGCAAAGGCTTTAAGGAGGAGGTGGTAGTAAATCAGGCATTTGAAGGATGCACAAGATTTTGTCAAGTGGAGAAGAAGGATTAAAGTGACATTCCAGGCAAATGAAAGAGCAACATCAAAGTCTCAGAAGTGTTAGGGTACATGGACTACTGAAAGAAAATAATAGCGCTCCTGGGCTGAACCTCAGAATACATGAAATAAGAGGGCAGAAAGCAAAATGAAGCTAAATTAGTCCATGGCAGCCTGCACATTCGAGGAAGCTCTGAATAGACAGGGAGAGAATGTTTCAGAACTGCACATATAGAGCTATGTTTTTGGTGTGACTTCTAAAAAAAAAGCCTCACCCACGCATTGACGGTCACTTCCTTTGCTAACATTATTTTGAAAGTCTGACTCATTAATAGAGCATTTTTCCTGAAACTCAAGACATTTAGAATTTGGATATATTTTTCTTTTGTTTCTTAAAGAGGACAAGAAAAAGAGAAAAGAGCTTCTCTTCTTGTCTGGGATTTCGACAAATGTTTGTATCTCACATTGTCTAATTTATTAGAATTCATTTCTTTAAGCTTTCCACTTTGAAGCTATCACTTTTTCTGAAGGGGACCATGATGTGCTCATTCTCCTTATATAAATTAGTTTGTGAACAGAAAGATTTGGGAGACCAGTGCAATGATCATGTAGTATGACAGGTGGGATAAGCATTAGTCTGGAAACAAGGAAACCTGGGCTCTAACTCTGGATCTTCCTCATCCTGGCTTTTTGGCCTTTAGGGAATCTTTAAAACTTTCACTCTCTGTTCAGTGAGGTGTTGGACTAGATGATCTCTAAGATTTCTTCTAGCCCCAACCTCTTGTCCACTTGACAAAATCTTGTGCAACCATGGAGGACATGCCTCAGATTGTCCTGACATGATTAAATCAAGGTCAGAGAAGGAAACTGAGTCTCTTATGAATGTCACTAAAAAAATATTATTTGAAAATTGATGACATTATAACTTTTTGAAGAAATATAATGCAAACATCATTTTCACTAGTTCCTTTGAAAGAGCTATTTTTTTTCTGATGATTTAATGTCAGCTCCATCAATTAAAATAGGCATAATTGTGCTCGTATAAAATAGTAATTTTCTAAAATGCATCTGATGGCACCAGGCCTTGGGGCATATTTCATTAGTTGTTGGAAAGATAATAGCATTTAATTAAGGAATGAATCACAATGAACAAACTAGATTCTGAATGTATTTCCCACTGAAATATAGACATTATTGATAGATGATAGATGATAGTCTGTTTTAAGGGCTAGCATTCTTTAAGATGTTTTAGCACAAAACAAGGTTAAAAAAAATCTTATCTCCTTATAGTCTGAATAAAGTAGTAGCCAGAGAAGCAGTCTTCATAATTTACTTCTACTTTATCATGAACCTTCTAAATCGAGTTGTTTTTTCATATTGGAAAGTACTTTAGCTTATTCTGTCAGTGATTTTTCCCCCACGTGGTAATGATGGAAAGGTCTTAACTTACAGAGAAATAAATATGGGAACAATACCTGTTTAAGCAGCAAGCACAGGGGCAGGTGAGAGAGTCTGGGAGGAAGTTCTTTTGCCTCAGGGTCACTGTCATGCGAGAGTGCTGAACACAGCAGCATCCTCTACTAACTTTAAAATTTAGAAATCTCAAGTAGAGTTCCAGTATTATTCAGGGAATCTGAAAAGAAAAACCACTGTGCTCAATAAATATATATTTTTAAAGTCATATTGGGGCCGGGCACGGTGGCTCATGCTTGTAATCCCAGCACTTTGCGAGGCTGAGGTGGGTGGACCACGAGGTCAGGAGTTAAAGACCAGCCTGGCAACATGTTGAAACTCTGTCTCTACTAAAAATACAAAAATTAGTTGGGCATGGTGTTGTGTGCCTGTAATCCCAGCTACTCGGGAGGCTGAGGCAGGAGAATTGCTGGAAGGTGGAGGTAGCAGCGAGCGAGATCACGCCACTGCACTCCAGCCTGGGCTACAGAGCGAGACTCTGTCAAAAAAAAAAAAAAAAAAAAAAAAAAAAAAGTCATATTGGACTTGAGAACTCTCTAGCCTGATTATTTACTTTTTACACCACAAACAGTTCAAGAGAATACAAAACAAACTATACTTTGAACCTAATAGTACAATGACAGAATAATTATTTTTTTCCAAAACGTTTGAAAATATGTCCAGTGCACTTGTCAAGACAAAATTCTAGATCCACAAATACTAAAATTGCAAAAATGATTTTGGTGAGAAGTGGCGAGGAGACCAGGCAGGAAAGGTGAAGAAAGAGAATTAGCATTCACAGCATACTTTCCTGCCAGCTAGCCTGATATACACTTTATTTATGCTAATTTATATAATCTTCACAGACAACTCTATAAGGTAGGTGTTATCTTTATTTTACAGTGGATAGAACTGAGCTTCATTAAAGTTAATTAACTTGCTCATCATAGTGTGGTTGTTAATGACAGAGACCTAATTTGCTTTCAAGAGCTGTGCTTTCTAACACCATGCTGTGTTCTGCTTCAGATAGTGTATCTCTGCAGGAATTAAAAGCATATACTGTACATTTATTTTTCAAGAATCAAATCACTATCATTTGATTTTAACATAAGCATAGCAAAAGTACCAGAACATAAGCTTATCATTGTGAAACTACAGCAGATTTGGGTATCACAGGGTACACGTGGCAGGCTGGAGGGACCTCAGTTTAGTCTGACAGAGAGTTTGATGCACTTGATGGGAGCAAGGAGGACTGAACCATCAGAGGCTGGTGACTGGCCACCAGGAATCACTTGGAGCCAGTTACTTATTGGTAAAGTCAGAATAGGGTGAAGTGAGTAAGGCCTTTGCTCCAAGTGTAAAATTTAAGGGGGCACCCAAAACTCAGTAATTAAAATAAAAAATATTCTAATGCAATTTCTTTAAAAAATCCAAATCAGCAAATTACCTGTTTTTGTAAATAACACCAGGGATCAGAGTTCTAAGCCACATCAAATAGTGAATTTCTTTATCTTTCAGAGGTCTAAGGAAGAAGAAAGATCTCACTGGGTGAAATCAGAATGATTTTTACTGGATTCAGGCACTCTGTTTTGGGGGGCATAGGAGCAGTATATTCTCTGGTCCTACGCTAGCAAGAGTCTCCTACTTTCTTAGAGTAGGAGCTAGACTTGGCATGACTAAGTGTCTTGATTTGCCCAGACTATGCAGGTTTTCGCACTGAAAGGACTGCTCCCCTCAAAACCCTCAGTTTTGGAAAAACTGCAATGATTGGTTATCCTAGCAGAGGGGATGTACTTAGAGTTATATTACTAAAAAAACAAAGAAAAGAGAGAATATGTGGATATTCTGTTTGGGGCCAGCTCTTAGAGTTTAACATAAGTAGAAGAAGAATATTTGAGTATATATTTGACTATTAAAATTAGAGTCATGCCAACCAGGGTGAAGTTACAGGTGATATAATTTATGTGTTCCCAGGCTACACCAGCCTGGGAAAGGGGTATGGGGAATCATAGTCTTGGTGATTTCTCTAGAAGATATCACCACCTGCTTTCTTGGGCTTTCCAACTCCTTTAAATCCTGTTCTACTTATTCCTTGAGTCCCTGGGAGGTCTTGCACCTACCATATTGAACAAGTCCTCTTATCTTCTAGTGTTTGACATAGACATTGATGACCATCACTGTGATTGTGATTGAGGGTTTGGGGTTTCCAAAGCCACCAGAGCAGTCAATTTTCACCACTTCCTGCAGGGATGCACTCTGCTGTATTCAGTCAAATTCACTGAAATAAGATTTGCTTCCAAAGTCTTTTTTTTTTCTCAGTGAGTTCCCTGCACCTTCACTCCACCTCCAACCCAATTTAGATCTAAACAAAAGTCTAATGAACTGCTCCCTCCAAACAAAGGCAAAATTACTGTAATGATGGAGAAATAGAAGTTTCAGGGGCCTGTGAGTGAATTTGAACTAATCTTCCATTCTTTTTTTTTAAAGAAGACCCCTGGATCCATGTTGTGGACTGAATTGCATCCCCCTCCAATTCATATATTGAAGCTCTAACCCCTAATGTGTTTGGAGATAGGGCTTTTAGGAGATAATTAAGGTTAAGTAAGGACATAGGATGAGGTCCTAATCTGACAGGACTGATGATCTTACAAGAGTAAGGAGATCCCCCTGTCCTCCTTCCCTGCTTTTCCTCTTTCTTTCCCCTCCCCATAATTCTTCCCCTCTTTCTCTCTCTCCATGTGATTATATAGTCAGAAGGCAGCCTTCTGCAAGCTAGGAAGAGAGTCCTCTCCAGAGACCAATCATGGTGGCATCCTGCTCTCAGGCATATAGCCTCTGGGGCTGTTAAGAACAATAAATGTGTGTAGTTTAAACCACTCATTCTATGGTATTTTATTATGGCAGCCTTAGCAGACTAAGACAATTCATTTTGTCCATGAACTTGTATTTGACCAATAGGAATGCAAATTGAAATCCTCATCTCTGCCTTTATTAACTTTGTGTTACAGTGATAATTTATGGCCCAGAGAGGGAAAATTAACACAGAGACAGGAATATTTTTTGGCCTGGAGCATTGACAGCAATTTAGCTACTGGGAAGCTATTGTGAACATCAGAGGTGATTACAAGAGTGAAAGCCAGAAAGAGAAACTTCCTTTTGTTTGAGCAACTCAAGTGAAACAGATTTGGTGGCATGACAGTGGAGGCCATTTCTGAGTGGGAGACAGCATAGCACAGTGGCTAAAAGCATGGACTCTGGACTCAATACCTGCATCCACTATTTAAAATCTGTGTAAAAGTGGACATGTTGCTTAATCTTTCTTTGCATCAGTTCCTTGTCTATAAGATAGTACCTACATCACAGAATTTCTATAAAGAACAAACTGCATAAAATGTGTGTAGCTTTTAGAACAGTGCTTATTGCATAGAAAATGTTCAGAATATATTACCTATTTCATTTATAAGAAAACATCTTTAGTGTTTCCTAAACAAATAGCATTCTCATTTGTCCAGCTATACAAACTCTTGACTACTCTTTGCCTGGTATTCATATCCAGTCTATTCCTATGTCCTATCAATGTTATCTTCCAAATATTCAATTAATCCACATCCTTTCATCTCCACTACAGAGGACAAGTTTCTCTGGGAAAGAAAGTATTTTTCCTGGCTTCCAGAGAGGGAAGGGTGGCTAAAAGTCTTTACAATGTACTTAGATTTTTGCCATTTACCACAATAGTCTAATTCATCTAGCTTTGCCTCCCCCACCCCCATCATTTGTTCTCCACACCTTGAGAAGAGTCCTTAAGGCTCTTTCTGAGCCTTCCCTACTATTATTTGGTTAACAGTTGACTCATCATAAGTCAGCTCAAGTGTCCTTTCATGGGGACACTTGTCTTGCTTGCAATTCTCCCCCTTTCTCAAATCTAGGTAAGTTTTCTTTGTTATTTGCCAGATTTCTCTCCTTCATAAAAGATTTAGTCTACTCTTGCTCACCATCCTACCTCTAGTGCCTGGGAGAGTGCTTGGCTCAGCATTTGTTGAATGAATGAACTAATAAAGAAATGACCTGTCGGCTAGGGTTTCATCTGTTTTGCTGTTGAACGTTGTCCATACTATTACTTGACGAATTGTTTTAATTGTTCCCTCAGGCCAATATGGCCTGAGCAATGTGGGTTATGAGTGCTATCATTTTTAAAAATCATATTATTCACTTGCATTGAAATATTCAAACCTACAGTTACCTAACTTTATCTGACTCCCTGAATACAAAGAAATATTTCCAAACAGCCTTCTTAGGGCATGAAACTTAGTTGCACTCTTTCTACAGTGAGTCTTACATTCATTAGAGGTCTTAATTAAGACTTAGTTTTACTTGCAGGATTCCTAGAACTACAAATATCCGATGCATCTAAAAATCACTGACAACAATCTTTGAAGAGTTCAGAAAATAAAGTTTGCAACTGGAGGTAGTTTTTGCTTCATATGTACCATTTTTTTTTTCTGCGGCTCTGAGAAAAAGGAAAGGTGTAGTTTATTGAGCAGCACTTAGAAAAACATTTATTGTTGGAGGAGCAGTTCACTGCTTTTGAGGACTGTGTGCAGTCCATGGATGTGGCTGCTTTCAACAAGATCTAAAATCTATCCTGGATCATGGCATTTAAATAAAAGCTTGAAAGATTAAAAAAAAACATTTATTGAACAGAAAATATATTATTTTACCTTGCAAGGCATTATCATATTTCAAAGCTAATTTTCATACGTAGAAATGGGACCGAAAAGATTATTTTGATCAGATTGTCTCAGCTGGTAATAATACAAGTGAATTTCAAAATCCCGGAACTTTTGAGTTCCAAGTGTATGCTCCTGGTGAGCCATGCTGCCTCTGCCTTTAGGGTTGGCAAGGGCTTGTCGGTTGCCCTCCTGGCCAGGAGGTAGCCAACACCCTGTAAGTGGGTTGTATAGGGTATTATACAAGTTCTGGATTCCTTCCTTCTTTCGGTCTTTCTTCTTTCCTAGAGGAAATGCTCGAGTTGTTTAAGGTGAATTTTCTCTCTCTTGTCTATCACTTAGCTGTTTCTCCTTCCTGTATGTTTTTTGGTATGTTATCCAGAGTTATATGACATTAATAAATACTCAGGAATTAAGTGGTTTTAATCTTCATGCTTTAAAAAAAAACTCCACTAGTATTCAAATTCTTCAATATTAAAATCATTTTCTGCATCATTCTACCACAAACCTTAAATAAAAGTTGCATGTGCAGGCACTTCAATCCTTCACACATGAACCCTTCCATTCAGTTATTTATTTAATTCCACTCCTGGAATAAGGAATGCATTACAGTTTGGGTAAATAATGATTGCATTGTTCTCTTCTCATGTAGTTTACTGGGGATTGTCACATCCTAGAGTAAATTGCAAGGACCCGAATTGGATTGAAGTGGAGTGCAGCTGTTATGTGCCTGTGTACAAACAGCTTCCAAATAACGATCTAAAATAGTCTTCCAACAGTGTCTGGTGATCTTGCCAGCAATTTTTCTCATTGCCCTCGGATGTAATTCAGCTGAGCTAGGATGCATAAACTTAACAGATTGTCTTTTTAAAACAGCTTAGTCAAAATTATTTTTAAAATACAGAAATGGCCTGAAGCTTGGTGTATGTGTGTGTATATGCACACACGCACACGTGTGCGTGCACACACACACACGCATATTGCTGACACTGATTTTGTAAACTCTGTAATTCTTATTCCACATTGTGTCAGTCCCACATTTCTCCTGGGATCCATCTGATATGGAATCTGTTGGTTTTCCACCAGTGATAATTTCATGTAAAATCTTAAATCTGACCTGAAATGTTTTTTTGTCTTACTATCTTTACATCAATATTAATCGTTGTGATATACCAAGATATAATTCAGTTGGTTCATAACTGTGCCAGTAGCCCTATCTTTATGTACAAATAGGCATACCTAAATCTAGTTCATTTAAAAAAATTTAACTACACTACAAAATAGGTTGAATTATTCTCATTTTGTTTATGGATATGTTGGCAGTGGGAAGTGGAGGGTAACAACTATGATATTATTGATCATTATGGATTGCATGACTGATACAGATAATACAAGGTTTCATTAATTTAATAAATGTTAACTGAGAGCTAGTGGGCCCCTGTGATTATATTAGGCTCTGGGGTTACAGAGATGAAGATTCTATGTCCCATTGTCAAAGCAGTCAGTTTCTTAAGGAGATAACCATGCAAACAGAGAGAATACAGTATGATACTCTTTTAGTATAAACAGTACCATTGACTTCCAATCAATTAGTTTCGATAATATCTGAAAGAGATATTTCTATAGCTGCTATAATAAATGTATGTACAAAAAACAGAGAAACAGGAAAAGGATTATCTATCCCTACCTGCAAGAGTGAGAGAAGGTTTTATGAAGAAGATAATGACTGAGCTGGCAATGAAAGGTGTTTGAGGTATTTTGACAAAGGGGAAAGAGTCAGAGGAGAACACCGCCATAGAGGGAGTAGTGTATAATAAAGGTGCAAACATATAGAACCTGAATCATTCATGATGCTACAAATGGTTCAGTATTTCAGGGGAGTAAAGTCTGAGCAAGGAAGTGGCAAGAGATAACCCTGAATAAATAGGCCAAAATCAGAGTGAGAAGAACTTTTCATGCCATGCAAATGGGATTAGATTTTTATGCCCTAAAGTAGTTGAGAACTTTTGAGAGTCTGAAACTTGAGAGTGTCATAGTCATCTTTTTGCATTAAAAATATCATTCTGACAGTACTATGGAGAATGGACTGAATGAGGACAACACCAAGGCTTGGGAAATCTGTTAAGGAGGTTTTCACAGTAATCTCAGTGAGAAATGATAAATGCCTGAACCAGGGCAGACTCAAGGAAATGGAAGGGAGAGTTATGAGATGCCTTGAAATGTAGAATTGACCATCTTGGTAATTGATTTGATGTGGGATGTTGGGGCTGGATAGGAAAGAGAGAGAGAAACCTAAGATATCTTTGAGATTTGTCCTATGTAACTACATGGATGATGGTATATTTTCCTGAGATAATAAATTTTGAAGGTAGAGTAGGTGTGGGGGTGTTGAGTTCAATTGTGATGAATGATAACTGCAAGGTGCATGAGTGACTTTTCAGCTGCTGTGGAGAGTGTGCTACTGGGCATAGGGCCCTGGAGCTTAGCAGGGATGTGGGTATGTGTTTATAGATGAATTTATAGATGATAGTTACATGTTTGCAGATGAAACTGCCTAGGCAGTGTGGACAAGAAGAAAAGGCAAAGGGTAGAGCCTTGAGGTACACCAACATTCATGGAGGGCACACTAGAGAATCCTACAAATAGAATTGAATAGAGGCCCAGTAGAGAAGTAAGAGAAGGGCCAAGGAAGCCTGGTGCCACTGAAACCAAGGCACTTCTCTTTGTATTGCAGCTGCCCTGAAGAGAAGAGCATATCGCATTTTGAAAAGTTTCAGGTATTGCTCAGACATTCCCTGTGATTTCTTCTTTTTTGTTTTCTAGAATGCTTCCCTAATCTCTACATAAACTATCACTCTCCTGTGAAGCCCTCCTGGCTACTGTATCTGTAATCTACAATGAACAATTATGACCAAATCACTGGTGGCATTAATCAGAAATTAACTTTGTAATTATATATGGCCATTTTGTTTAGCCAAACAAGAGACAAGGTATTTATCATGCCTTGCCTGTGGTAGATGTCTCAGGCCAGTCCACTAGAAGCAGAGCTTGAGAGAAGAACCCAGGTGCACATGATTCATTGAGGGAGTGCTTGTTACAAAAATCCTACCAGTGAGTGGAGGAAGAAGGATGTCATCTTGGGTTGCCTAGTCCTGGCCTGGTCCACAGCAGCCAGGGAGAATAATTGCATCTTAAAGTTATCCTTGCTTGAGGTAAGGGTGTTTGGTTTTGTACTCCTGAGTCAGCCAAGGGCAAATCTCTGGAGAAAGTCACAGGTGTCAGTCACTAGTCTTGCCCTGGCAGCAGATAGGGGAGGGGTTTGATGACTTATACAAAGGCATCAACAGTGTCTATTGCAGCAGGCAGGCATTCGAGGATGTAGTAATTGCTTTGTATTTCCTGGACGTTGGCTCTTTGGGTGTTTGGCTTGGGAGCTATGGTGAAGAAAAATGGTTTCTCTCTTCATCGCTCTCTCTCCCTCCCCACTTCACCTCCAGTCCTTTTTGTTTAAAATGAAACTTCATTTTTTGTATTTCTTCTATTGAGGAAAATAAAAAGTTTAAAAAAGAAAATAAGTATTGTCCCAAATTCTAGCACCTTAAGATAATTACTGTTAACATTTCAGCATATTTTCTTCAAATCTTTATAAAAGCATTTTAGTCAAGATCATTCTGTAAATTAAACAAAAATAGTCATTTTACTTCATGTGCATAACCTTATTAAATCTACAACTAGATACAATTTTATTATGTGATTGAACTATACTTTATTATGACCATTCCCTTAATTTGGGGCTTTTAAGTTTTCCCATATTTTCACTTTTATAAAAAATACTTTCAGCAATGTATTTTGCCATAAGAACTATTCTTCACATTTTAGATTATTTCTTAAGATTAAATTCCTAAAAATGGAATTACTGAGATAAAAGTCATGAAAATTATAAGGCTCTTGGTAGATATTGCAAATTGCTTTTTTCTTTTTTAACAGGCCATACAATTTAGACTTTCACCAGCAATTGATGAGAATGCCTTTTGCTATACTATGTCAGGGTAATAGGCTGCTCCCTTTAAAATGAATCCCTCAGTTCTCTTAAGTGGAAACAACCACTGAAATACAGTTCCTGTGTTCTCTTCCAGAGATACACTGTATGTATTTACGATTTTTTTATGTATGAAAGTTTTGTAGTTTTACAAAGACAAACTCATTACATAGTCAAATTTGCTAATATTTCTCATGATTGTGGTCCACTTTTGATTTTCCTCTATCCTTTGTCATTGACTGCTTAATATAATTATTTTGGTCAAAGAAGAGCCATATGGATCCTGAAAACTGGCACAAGACAATTTTGTAAGAGTGTGTTTGCTCAATCCGTTTCACTCTTCTCGGGGGAGCCCATGGGATGACACACACAGTGTAAGCCTTGGGTTTTCCAAGCAAGGTAGAAAAAATAGGCTTCATCTTGTCTGAGGGAAGGGCTCAGAAACAATGTCCGTCTACTGCTCAGAGATTTGTAAAGTGATGATGATTCTACCCATTGTTGTTAAAGAATACAGCAGTTGCTGTAAAGGAAGATTGTGTGTGTGTTTAGGGTCAGAGTGGAGGTGACGCATAAATCAGAATGAAGCAAACTGGTGGTAGAGGCTGGTAAGAATAGATAACAACACATTTTCAGAATTTATTGGGAAAGTACGCAAGCTCTCTCAAATGCCCTCTTTTTGCTAAATTCCACAGCAACATGCTTTTTTATTATATACAAGATCTCATACAGAGGAACCTGCCATACTGGACGGATGTTGTTTTCTCTATGTTCATTCTTCTTAAAACATTTTAAAGTTATTTTGACATTTAGCTGCTTAGAAGTAGAAGCCTGAACAAGATAATTTAATTCTAGATCTGTATGATGTTAGGATTTGGATAAAGTGAACGAAAAAGTTATTACTCAAATGTGCTATAACATAGTATAATAATGTATTCCAGAAGGTGTTAGAAAACAATTATAACTGTCCAAAAATCTTGTTCTAAAGATCAGATATTCTGAATTTTTTAAAATCTTGACAGAGTTTATATTTTATTAAATTTCTTCACAAAGATCTAAACCCTTTCTGGTATAAACCTGGCAACGTGCTAAATAGCACTGTCTGATAAATATAAATTTAAACCACTGAAGCAGAGTCTGAACTGAGAAAGAAAATTTGATGTAGGAGAGCACAGTTCCTCTTCTGTCTTAGAGAGTAGTGTTGCAAGATTTCCTTTCTTGTTGGGATAACAGAAGGCAGTAGGAATGAATGGAAATTGGGGTTACAATACATCATGATTTCTTGTGATGAAAGAAAAGCAGTGAACATCTTTGGGTCTCCATTTCTTTAACTTTAACATGGGGAGATGGACTCAATTTGTAAATTATATGATCTGTCACTCGGGTTCATCGTGTTCTCCCCTTGTAGTGCAATAGGAATAGGGACCCACTGACTTTTCTTTCTTGCTAATGGTTGTTTTCTTTGGGGCAGCTGGATGAAGGACACAAAGGGAAAGAGAGGGTTTTCTTGTGAACTGACAATTTAGAGAGACTTTGATGGAGAGGAAGGATAAAAACACAGCTTTTAACACAAATTTGTGGCTAAGAGGTGCTCCTGCTTTTGAAAGCCAATTATAGTGATAAAAGAGGGAAAGGGATGAAGGTGAATAGTGAAAGGGCAGGATACCAAGTGTGTTATTCTACCAATGAGGTATGACACCTGAGAAATGGTCAAGTATTCATTGAAGCAATTCTAGGCAATGGAAAAAAAATGGAAGGCTTCTTGCTTTTCGAATATACAGAACAAAGAGGTTTACCCTGGAAATTTTTGGTAAGAGTCAAAAATTTTAGGCAGGATATTATTTTCTGACCTCCTCTCCTGATAATCTCTGACTTACTCATCTCAACATCAGCACCCTTTTGTTATTCTCAAACATGCCAGGAAAGCTTCACCCTGGGGCTTTGGGACTGTTTTTTTCCTTTCAGGGACTGCTCTTCCCCAGATATTCTTGTGAGCAACTCCCTCACCCTTCAAGTCTTTGCTCAAAAGTCATTTTCCCATTGAGACCTTCCCATTAGATGATGCAGCCAGTCTCCTTCCACTCCAGCTGATGATCCCTTCCCCCAAACCCTCCTCATCCCCTTTACTCTGATGTACTCCTTTTTTTCCCATAGCACTTATGATCTTCTAATACATGGCACATTTCAGTTATTTTCATTATTTATTATTTATGATCTCTTGCTTCCTTCCATCACCCTCCTTCTATTCCCAGAAGGAACACTAAGCTTCAAAAGGGCAAGGATTTTTTTTTCCTAATGTGCCCAAAATAACTAGTACAGTGTCTGACATGTGAAAGGTACAAAGGGTACTCAATTAGCATTTGTTAAATGAATAAATGAAGGCTTATGCAATCCATATGTACGAGAAGTACACATCAGCTAAGGAATGCAATAGAGAGATTTATATACGTCTGCTTTTCCTGTAGCTAGTAGGTACAGATACAGGAAGCAATATAGACTAAAGGTTTGTTTCGTTTCCTGGGAGAAAAACTACCTAGAAACGAATCCTTTTACTACCAAGTGCACTGTGTTTTCTTACATTAATAATAATTTGGTTTAGGGTGATGCTTCAGAGGTTTTTTCAGAGCCCTGTGTTATATGTTAGCTCATTTTAATCCCTATTTTACAATAAGAAAACCAAAGCTCAGAGAGGCAAAAACTCCTGTGCAACAAATGTGACCTCACAGAAGGGTACTCAGGCTTTCTGATTCCACAGCTTTCCCGTAACACAGAGAAGATATAAGGACTATGCCATTTAAAGGACAAGAGACAAAAAGATGGTTGTGTGTGTGTGTGTGTGTGTGTAAAATGGATGCAGAGTGTGATGTCTGCTCATAGACCAAGAGCAGAGCACAAGAACAGAGACAAATTGCTAGAGACAAAGGAGAGCACTGCCATTTACAGTGACCTACATTTATTGTTCAATATTCAAAACATGTTTTAAAAGCTTAAAATATCTAAAATATTTTCATACTGTTCATTTATGCCACAAAATTTATACTCTGTAAGGGGGTTTATTATTATTTTCTCTGTTTCTTGTAACTATAACCCATTTGAAACATTAACAACACTGGAATCTTGTCATTATTTCCAACAGTTTTCAGCTCTGTAGCCATGAATTTTCAATATCAGACAGCAGTTTTTGCTCTTTGTTAACATGTATTTATCACATATTTTATTTCTGGGATACACAGCTGTTCACTGTAAAACTATTCTTTTAAGTGTCAGCCTTCAATCATTTAGCCATTTCATTTCTATTTTTCCCCCTAGCAGCTGTTCTATTGATTGTCTAGAAATTGTTCATTCTATGTTTAAAATTATAACAGGAAGTGCAAAATTAAAAGGTTACATGTAAAAAAAGGATGCTGGAGTCATAAGAACACGAGCGCAGCTGTGCGCTTCCAAGAAACTGATATATATATATATCAGTTTGTGTGGAATATATATATACATATATTCCACGCACACACACACATACACACACACCATACACACATACACACACACACCATACACACACACACACAATACACACACACACACATTGGAAATGCATATGTACAGACATTAATATTGACTTTATTGAAATAATTCAGGAAAAATATCAAGTATATTAGGTGAATACCACATGCTAGTTATTTTGCTGAATGCTGAGGCACTGTTTCAGGAAGTTGGTATAATACTTATTATCCTTATTTTGGCTGGGCACTGTGGTTCACGCCTGTAATACCAGCACTTTGGGAGGCCGAGGTGAGTGGATCACCTGAGGTCAGGAGTTTGAGACCAGCCTGGCCAACATGGTGAAACTCTGTCTCTACTAAAAATACAAAAATTAGTTGGGCGTGGTGGTGGACACCTGTAATCCCAACTACTGGGGAGGCTGAGGCATGAGAATCGCTTGAACCCTGGAGGCGGAGGTTGCAGTGAGCCGAGATCACGCCACTGCACTCCAGCCTGGGTGACAGAGTGAGACTCCATCTCAGAAAATATATATATATATGTATACTATTGTCCTTATTTTATGGATGAGGAAACTGAGGTTCAGGGAAGCTAAGTAATCTGTTCAAGTTTCCACAGTGAGTATGTTGCAGAGATGAAGTTGGAATTAAGTTTTGTCCTGATTTCAAAAGGTTTGTTTCTCCTCCCCTTAATCTCTTTTTTCCTGAGCTATTTCAGACATATAAGAACTATACAGAGAAAATGAAAATGAAAATGTATGTACTTATTATAATTTAGCTTAAGAAGCAGAACATGGTAAACATAATTGGACCCCTAATTATATCTCCCAATCCCATTCCCTTGCTTTTCCTTCTGAATCCTGAATTTGTGTTTATCATTCCCATTTACATTTTTATATGTTTACTACATATATATGTGTCTCAAAGCAAAATTTAGTGTTGCCATGTTTTGAAATTTTATATACTGTTGTGAAAATTTACATTTTCACTCAACATTATTTTCATTGCTTTATTTCAGTTTTTTGTTTGAATATAACACAATGTTTTGATTCATCTTATGTTTATAGATGTTTAGGTTGTCTCTAACTTTTTTTTGCCCAGGCTGTTACCCAGGTTGTTGCCCAGGCTGGAGTGCAGTGACGCGATCATGGCTCACTGCAACCTCCACCTCCCAGGTTCAAGCGGTTTTTCTGCCTCAGCATCCCGAGTAGCTGGGACCACAGGCGCGCGCCACCACGCCCGGCTAATTTTTGTAGTTTTACGTAGCGACAGGATTTCACCATGTTGGCCAAGCCGATCTTGAACTCCTGACCTCGTGATCCACCCGCCTCGGCCTCCCAAAGTGCTGGGATTATAGGCGTGAGCCACCACGCCCAGCCGGTTGTCTCTAACTTTTAGCAATGACTTTACATTTTTGACAAGTTGATGGGTACAAAACAGGGTATTATTGTTTTTTAATTGGCACTTTCCTGATTGGTACTGAAATGGAATTTTTTTCATATATTTATTGGCAATTAATATTGCCAGTTCAAGTATTTTGCCCCTTTCTTCTAGTGAGTTTTTCATCCTTTCTTATTAATTTTAGGGTGACTGCAGATGATAATCTCTGTAGATGTCTTCCTGAATTTATTTTTCTATTTATCATGTCTTTTGATGTACAGGAATTTTTCATATGTTTAAAGGTTTATTAGTACATTTTCACACTACTATAAAGAAACTACTGGAGACTGGGTAATTTATAAAGAAAAAAGTTTTTCTTTTATTTATTTTTATTTATTTATTTCATTTAGAGACAGCGTCTTGCTATGTTGTTGGCCAGGCTGGTCTTGAACTTTTGGGCGCAAATGATCCTCCTGCTTTGGCCTCTCAAAGTGCTGGGATTACAGGCATGAGCCACCATGCTCAGCCAAGAAGAAAGTTTTAATTGACTCACAGTTCCACATGGCTGGGGAGGACTCGGGAAACTTACAATCATGGCTGAAGGTGAAGGAGAAGCAAGGCATAACTTACATGGCAGCAGCAGAGAGAGAAAGTAATACAGGGGGTAAGTACCAAACACTTTTAAACCACCAGATCTCCTGAGAACTCACTCACTATCACAAGAACAGCATGGGGGAAACCACCCCCACGATCCAATCACCTACCACCAGGTCCCTCTCTCAATACGTAGGGATTACAATTCAAGTTGAGATTTGGGTGGGAACACAGAGCCAAACCATATCAAAAGGAAATTTTTATTTCTTTTTCTGTGAATTGTCTATTGATATCCTTTGCCAATTTGCAAAGGATATTTTTCTATTGGAGTTTTTTGTCTTTTCCTCAATTTTTTTTTAAATCATCAGAGCTATTAACTATTTTTATTTTTTCATTTATTTTCTTCCTTTTTCTGTCTTCCTTCTTTCCTTCCTTTCTCTCTCTCTCTCTCTCTCCCTCCTTCCCTCCCTCCCTCCCTCAGTCTCACTGTATTGCCCATGTTGGAGTGCAGTGGTATGATCATAGCTCACTGTAGCCTTGAACTCCTGAGCTCAAGCAATCCTTGTCTCTGCCACCCAGGTAACTAGGACTGCAGACACCATGCCCAGCTACTTATTTTTCCTTTGGCAGAGATGGGGGTCTCACCATGTTGCTTAGATTGGTCTCAAACTCCTGGGCTCGAGTGATCCTCCCACCTTGGCCTCCCAAAGTGCTGTGATTACAGGCTAGAGCCACCACACCTGGACTCTTCTTGTATTTTTGTAACCTTACTTTTTACATTGAAACCGTACATCCTTTGAGAATTTATCTTAGTGTGATCCACCCTTATCTGGGCTATTCAATTTTTCCAACAGCATTTATTTAAAAGCCCCTCTTTATCTCACTGATTTCAGATGCCACTGAATTGTTGTGTGCGTTTGAGTCTATTTCTGGACTTTCTATTTTGCTCCATTGGTTTTTCTATTTATGTAACATTACTATTTTAATGATCAAGTCTTTATAATATAATTTAAGATGTGATAAGGTTAGTTGCTCCTTATTGCCCTTCTTTTTAAAAGTTTTCCTAGCCACTCCTTATTTATAACTTTTCTAGATGAACTTTGATGTCAGTTTGGCCACCTCTTTTACAAAATTCTTTTGGAATTTTATTGAGATTTGTTGAATTTATGAATCAAGTTAGGTAGAATTAATATCTTAATGATGTGTTTTCCCATCTACAAACATGGAATGACATTTCACTTACTCAAATCTACTTTAGGTCCTTTAAAAGTACTTAAATTTTTGCAAAAATAAATTATGGATTTTAAAAAAGTTAAGTATCAAGTTATTTTAGGAATAACTGTTTATTCCTAATCGTTTTATATTTTTTTGTTGCTGTTTTGCATTAGGTCTTTTCTTCTATTTTATCCTCTTTCAGGTCATTGCTTGTAAAAATGGACTATTGATACATATATATTAATTTGATACCCTACTACTTCACTGAATTTCCTATTGTTTTTAGTTTATGGGAAATTCTCTCTGAGTTTTCAGTTATACAATATACCATCTACAAAGAGTGATAGTTTTACTTTCTCCATTAAAATATTTCTGTGTATAGACTCTTCTTTGCTTGGGAAAGCAACAAAATAAAAAATACTTCTATGTGTAATTCTTTTTTCATTTTTATCATGTTGGCTAATATTTCAAGTGTAATATTAAATAGCAGTGATGACAAAACACATCCTTACCTTTTTCCTGAGTTAAGTGAAAATAATGCCAGTGTTTTTCCTTTCACTATGATGCTGATTTTTTCTAATATATATAGACACATATAAATATATACATACATATATTTACATATGTATATGTACATACAGGTTTATAAATATAAATACCTATATGTATGCACATGTATATATGTTTATAAACAGATATATGTGTATACATATTATATATATCTGTGCATATATATGCTGAGATATGTTTGTATATGTATGTATTTTATAGATATATAATGCAAAAATTCAGCTGAGTGATCTTAATAAGAATTGGTGTTGAATTTTTTGACATCAGTGAAGATACTCATATGACATTTCTCCTGAAATCTTTTAATATAATTCATTATATTCATCAATTTTCCAATATTAAGCCATCTTTGAATTTTTAGAATCTCTTTCTTAATGCAGTTGTTTCTTTAAAGGTGTTTTTGGATTGTAATTGTTAAACCTTAAGATTTGGCTGGGCAGGGTGGCTCATGCCTGTAATCCCAGCACTTTAGGAGGCCAAGGCGGGTGGATCATGAGGTCAGTAGTTCAAGACCAGCCTGGCCAACATAGTGAAACCCCGTCTCTACTAAAAATACAAAAATTAGCTATATGTGGTAGCGAGCACCTCTAGTCCCAGCTACTTGGGATGCTGAGACAGGAGAATCACTTGAACTGGGGAGGTTGAGGATGCAGTGAGTCAAGATTGCACCACTGCACTCCCGCCTGGGTGACACAATGAGTCTCTGTCTCAAAAACAAAACAAAGCAAGACAAAACCCTTAAGATTTTGCATTGACATTTATAAGTGATATCGGTCAGAACCAATAATCCAGGATGTTATTTACTTATTTACCTTTTCCTTAGATTTTCCAGGACTTTGTGGCTAATTTGGATTTAAATTCCAAGCCAGGATATGGGCACATTTGGTGAGCAAATGTTATGAGTCCCTTGTCTCATGAGCACCTTTGAGTGTGAGCTTTACGTACAGGTATGCAAGCCAACACCTTGTTTCCTATCTCACATATTTTTTAAGACTGAAGCCTACTAGTTACTGAGCTCAATTCAGTGTGTGAAAGAATGTTTGCTGTAAACAACATGGCAACCAGGCCAAATGATCTGAAGGAGAGAGACAGCATTCAAACTGGAAGCTGCAGTGTCTTTGACAACCTAATCTCAGAGATGATTATTTCTACCATATTGTATTGGTCACACAGATTAACTCTGGTATAATTTGGGAGAGGATTACACAAAGTTTCTTACACCAGGAAGAGGTGATCATTGGAAGCCATTTTACATGCTGGCTGCCAGAGTACATTCCCATTTTTAAATTATTTTAATTCTAGTACATTCTGACAGTTCATGACTGCAAAGACGCAATGAAATGATATGACAGAACAGATATCTAAAGGTGTCAAGGGACAGCAAAGGGGAAAAGAATTTAAATAGAAAGTTTTTACAGACAAACTTAGCTAGCCAATGGTGTATTTGTTTGTTTCACAATAATTTCATACTGGTGAGTTTGTTTTCTTATAATACACCTGATGTAGAATTTTTCTTCTCGGTCATTTTGCAAGCCAGGGACCCCTGGCTGGCAATGCCCCCCCACCCAGGCCTCACTCCACCACACTTGAGTGCCCCAGCTTGCCTGTGTTATAGCTTATACCCACATGCAGCAGTTCCTGAGCTCTTTATACCATGCCCAAGAAGAATGAGGATACACTGGACATTGAAGGGTAAGGATGAAGGAGAAGAATTTCACTGAGCAATGAAAACAGCTCTCAGAAGAGAATGGAGTCGGAGAGGGAATGGAGAAGGGCAGGTTTTCTTGCCCAAAGTCAGGTTGTCTCTACCCTGTAGTCAGGTCATCTCCCCCTTTACTGACTGAGTCTGGGGTCTTTATAGGCACAGGATGGGGAGTGCATGCTGATTGGTTTGTGAGTATGCAAAAAAGGTTAAAGCAAAGACACTGCTCAAAAGTGGGCATGATAGTGTAGAAAACCGATTAGGAAATGGTAGGTATATGTAAAATAGCTGAACAGTGGGGTCCAATCGGAGGAAAGCACACCAAACAGGAAGACAAGTTCTTAATCTGGTCTGAGGATTTAACTTGTAGCTTGGCTTTCAGGCTTTAAACTCTCTTTGGCTTGGAGGTTGGTTTTCACTGGGGACCTGCCCCTATCTGCCTAGGCATTTGACTGCCTCCTGTCACTATCACAACTACCAATATATCAATATAAAAGACATTGTGTAATTGCTGAAAAAGTGTAGAGTTTGAAAATATATTAATCTAAATAGTTCTGACAAATGATTGTTCTATTTTCAAAAAATGAGACATTTCATCTAAACTTAGAGTTAATCAATCTCAGGATTATATTAGAGAAATAGATAAGTTTTATTCTCTTTTTAGAACACCATTAGAATTTAAACATATTATCCTATGTCAAGTACCTTGTCAGTAGAATAAGTACTGATTATCTATTGAAAGACAGTCTTAGTGATAAGTTGAGTAATCTTATTAATGATAGTTACATATCCTAGATGGAGTATTTTCTTTACAGTCTGCCTCATTTCCACTTCATTTTGGAGCATATAGCCGCTGCTATCTGCATCCTGAAAAAGTGAGAAGTAAATTTCCCAGATGGCCCTTTAATAATGTAAGAAAATCAGCTAAGGCCTTTCAAATAAATGATATTAGTATAATCAGTATTAACTCTGTTAATCCTAGGTAGGGTCTTTCTCAGAAGCCTATCACATTTAGAAAACTTTAGAGATTTCATCTATCAAAGAAAATTAGAATACAACTTTAAATGCCCATTCTCTTGAACCTCCCTCTTGGAATAATATTAATTTTTGAAATATTGCCTAAGATTCACATATCTATAGTAGTTAGGTGCTTTTGATGTCGGTTTACCAAGTTATGGTAGCCAAAATATCCTTCTTCTATGAGTCCTCCTTAGAAAAACCTGAAAGCTACCCATCTACACTATATTTGTGAGAATATAAAATTAATCAATTATATAACATTATTGAGACACTCTTCTAGATTCTGGAAAAAAAAATCTGTGCCTTATATTTAGAAAATTTACATATGTGTTTACCCTTTGGCCTGGTAATCTCATCTCTGGGAATCCTAAAGATGTACTGAAAAAAATACAAAATGCCATACACAAAAATACATACGAATATTATAGTATTTGTAATAATAAAAGGACCAACCCAAATGCCCATCAATAAGGCAAGGGTTGAATAAAATATGACACATTCACCCAGTGGATTATTTTGTAGATATAAAAAGGAATGGGGAAGATTTCCATATAATTTCATTTGCAGTATTTTTTTTTTTTTTTTTTTTTGAGACAGAGTCTGGCTCTGTCACCCAAGCTGGAGTTCAGTGGCGCGATCTCGGCTCACTGCAACCTCCGTCTCCTGGGTTCATGTGATTCCCCTATCTCAGCCTCCTGAGTAGCTGGGACTACAGGCACCCCCCACCACACCGAGCTAATTTTTTTTTTTTTGTATTTTAGTAGAGATGAGGTTTCACCATGTTGGCCAAGATGGTCTCGATCTCCTGACCTCATGATCCACGCGCCTTGGCCTCCCAAAGTGCTGGGATTACAGGTGTGCACCACCACACCTGGCCCATTTGCAATATCTTAATATGTATTGCTATGTTGAAAAAAGCAAGGTCAGTTTATAGTATTTGAAATATGCTATGTTTAGTATAAGTATAGAAGCAGATATGAAAATCGAAATTATGTCTTTGCTTGTATGTCTGGGAATAAACAATGGAAAGATAAGCCAGAAACTAACAAAAATTCTTACCTATGGGGAGAAAGAGGAGAAAGACTGTGGCACAGTCAGACACGGAGGTGGGACTTTAGAGAATGTACTTGGTTATAAAGGTTTGACTGTTTTACATAATTAAAAACCACATTAAATAAAAAGGAAAAAATTCATAAAGAATTAAAACAATAAATAATGAAACAAATGAACTTAGTGGCATTAAAAAGTTGGTTACATAACCACGTGGACAAAGTAATTATATCAAGTGATTTAAAAAATGGTATTTTGTCTATCTCTAATGTGATGACAAAAAAAGAATTGCAAAATAACCCGTAAACTGCAAAGAGGAGTCTTACTGTTAAATGTACTGTCATTTTGAAACTTAAGTATATTGTAAGATAAAGTGTTCAGTAATTACGTTAATGTTTTAGGAACCAAGGGTTTCCATACAAGAAGGAAACAAGTATAAAATAGTAAAACACCTTGTGATTTTATATTTGAATTGGAAATATCAGTTAGCATTCATGATTCTACCCTTTGCCTACCCAAATAAAATATTTTACTAATTTCCCAGCTAGGTCTCTGAAAAGTCTTAGAAACAATGAAAATATAGCAGCATTCTAAAATACCATTTTCCACTAAAAGAAATCAAGTCTCCTTAGAGAATGGCTGATTCTAGATCTAAAACAGAAAATGTTCAAGATTAGCCTGGCACATCTTGTGCCAAAAAGCATGAAAGGTATCCAATACTAATGTGGTCACATTAAATGTATATATCATCCACTTGAAGTTGGTCTTAGAAGTCTATCTGAGACAACTCGAGCATCAAAAAAGATAAATGACCAGGCCAGGCACGGTGGCTCATGCCTGTAATCCCAGCATTTTGGGAGGCCGAGGCAAGTGAATCACTTGAGGTCAGGAGTTAGAGACCAGCCTGGCCAACACGGTAAAACATTGTCTCTACTAGAAATATTTAAAAAATTAGCCAGGCATGGTGGCACATGCCTGTAAGCCCAGCTATTCGGGAGGCTGAGGCAGGATACCCATTTGAACCTGTGAGGTGGAAATTGCAGTGAGCTGAGATGGTGCCACTGCACTCCAGCCTGGGTGACAGAGTGAGACTCCATCTCAAACAAAAAATAACCCTCCCCAAAACCAAACCAAACCAAAACAAAAAGATTAATGCTATACTAGATCAAAACACAAATATATAAGAATGTATGAGTCCATGATGAGACAGAAAAACAAAAAATAATAATACCAAACAAAACAAACTAACTCCAAGGTATTAAATAACTTGAAATTTGCTGGGGCACCAACTCATTATTCTGCCAGCTAACAAAAGATCAGACATTTATTCTACTTGAACAACAATTGACTTGAGAAAGGTCTCTTTTTATTAATGAATTTAGATAATAAATGCAAAAGAAGTGATTAAATAAAATTATTAATGAAGGCAATAATCATCAATGGATGCTAAACCATCAGGTAAACTGTTGGTGGGAACTTCACAGTGGAGAAATCAGGCTGATATCACCCTAACCTTCTGATTTATCTTAGCATCACTAAAGGGGTGCCAACCCCTCATTTTGTGCCCCATCATGAGGCACAACAGGAAGTAACACAGAATTCTTGCCTATAAAAATGAACCTGAATCTAATTAGACCTCTGTATATAATAACAACCAGATTATAGAAAATATTAAGTGGAAAGCAATCTGTCAAATTTAGAATGTGAGACATGCTAGAGGACAAATGTACTGGGTTTCCAACAAATCAATAGCATGGGAGGAATACAGAAGCAGTGGGAAGAGATTGAAGACATAAAAAGCCTAATGCAGTTTGTGGGTCTTGTTAGGATCCCAATTCAAATTAATTAAATGTAAAGAGATATTGTTGAGATAATCGGAGCAATTTGAATTCAAAATAAGAATAAATGACACAAAGGGTTATTGTTAATTTAATTTAATGTGATAATGGGATGATGATTTCAAATATTACAAAACTTTATCAGTATATATCTCTTTATCAGAAAGAGATATATACTGAAGATTTTATAGGTAAAATAACATGAAATCTTATGTCTAAGATTTGCTTGAAAATACTTCAAGGAAAAAATATTGTAGAGAGATAGAGGAGATGAGATTGCTAAAAATATTAAAAATTTTTTAACCTGAGTGATAATGGTGGTTCACTATAGTATTATTCCTATGGATGTTCACTGTAATATTATTCCTACTTTCATATGTCTTTCTATAAGAAATTTTTAAAACTCTGCTCTCATGTAGTTTACATTTTCAAAGAAGATACAGATAACAAACATGCCATAATAAAACATATAGTCCTTTAAATATAAATAAGGAAACAGAAATCAAACATGAAAGGGGTGGGAAATATAGGATAGTGATGTGCAATTTTGATAGGGTGGTCAGGAAAATTCTCATTGAGAAAATCACAATTGAGTAAAGGCTTGATGTGAGGTAGGAAGCCATGTAAATATCTGTGAGAACATTTCAAACAGAATGAACGGTAAATGCGAAGTACCTGAGGAAGGAGCATGAGTTATTTAAGGAATAATGAGGAGGCCAACGTGATGGGAACATCTTGAGTGAGGGGGTTGAATAGTAGCAGTTGAGGTCAGAGAAGAAAAAGTGGAGAGGAGATACAAATCACATAGTACTTTCTAGGTCATAGTGGGGTAGATTTGCAAATTCCTCACCATCAAGTGAAATTGTAGATTTTACTGGTAGATGCGATATGTTTCTTCTGTGGTTTTAAGTACCCACTACATTAATGCATAAACCATGGGTATATGTGCTTTGATTGAAGAAGCACAGACTTAGCCTATTCCTTTAATGTTAGCAAATAATGGCTTAATAAATTACCTTGACAAGATATATTAAAGAGAGGAGTGCATAGAGAGTTCTCTTAAATATGTGTATAATGTGATTAGAACAAAATTAACCCTAAACCCAGTAGAGAAGAAAATCTAGCAGAAAGGGAATTAAATAGCTTCTGACTACTCCAGATAGAGTACTAGGCAGACTGATAGTGTAGAAGGAGGAGGATCACTGTGCAGGCAACCTGTAGGCCCCCAGGGGAAATTATTCTGCCTTATCCTGCCAGGTGAAGAAGAGCAATTCTGCCCAAGGGTCCAAGGTCTCAGGTCTCATCAGGAGTGGCAGCAGTGCATGTCTTGTTACCTCAGTTGCTTTGAAGAGAGAGTCACAGGCTCTTTTTTTATAGGGTTGCTTGGGTCACTCGGGGCTCTTTTGGCAAATGGATAGATATTGAGAAACTGGGCTGCCATGCACAAAGAACTCACTATTCCTCTTAAATTATGCTGCTGGATGTCATCACCCTCTGACATTTCACGTGTAACATTTGCAACTAATTCTAAGTGTTGTATTTTCAAGCCATGTGACTCTGTTTAAACGTTTTTGTTTATTACTTAGAGGGCTTAACTAATTTAGAGTATGGTCTGATGATTAAAAAAGATTCCTATTACAAACTGTCCAGGTAGGGTCTCCCCAACCAAAAAAATAAAAAAACTTTCAGGGGAATACTAACAATACAGGACACTGCAAAATATTTTTTTAGCCTTTGAATTTTTCCTGGTTTTGCCAATGTCATAGAAATATCTCTGAGATTATAAATTTAGTTTTAAAAAATTATTGTTACTTTTTACTTATTTACCACAGAAATATGAAATGATTTTGGCTATATGGTGATGTAATGAACTATTCCATGATTTCCTGAACTGCTCTCTGGAGTGAGAAGGGATCTTGATCATCTGGCTTGGGCTGGAATTCTAGGATTAAGGTCAGATACAAGAATGAAGGACCATAAGGTGTGTTTGAAAGAAGAACCAGAAGAAAGTTTTAGGAATTAAAACTCAAACCCAAAGTAGGAACTTAAGGAGAATAAAACTTAATAACAAATGAGAGGTTTGGCCAGGCATGGTGGCTCACGCCTGTAATCTCAGCACTTTGGAGGCCAAGGCAGACAGATCACCTGAGGTCAAGAGTTTGAGACCAGCCTGGCAAATATGGTGAAACCCTGTCTCTACTAAAAATACAAAAAAAAAAAAACAAAAAAAAAAAAACAAAAAAAAACCAGGCATGGTAGCACACGACTATACTCCCAGCTACTCGCAAGGCTGAGGCAGGAGAACTGCTTGAACCCAGGAGGTGGAGGTTGCAGCGAGCTGAGATCGGGCCACTGCACTCCAGCCTGGGCGACAGAGTGAGACTCAATCTCAAAACAAAACAAAACAAAAGTGAGAAGTTTGTGACTGGGGTCAAATATAAAATATGTTAGGAAGAATAAAAATGAAATGGCACCTGGAGATATTGTCTGAGTCATCATTACACAAAAGGAAGCTAACTTAGTGCTCCTGGCTTCTTGGCCATAAGCTAGTCAGAAACTCGATGAGGCTTATATTTTTAGCCACAGTATAGACTGCTGGTCATCAACAGGGTAACTATCATGCCCTTGGAATGATCTGAAAGAGCCCAAAGTACCACATTGGTGATACCACAGTGCCTTTTTTTTCCCTCCAGTTATTTGATCCAGACTCAAGATAGATTATCTGCCTGATTTGATTTACGTGTTTGTCTTCCCCATGAAATTGTTAAGTATTCAGTGTCAGGGATCATGTCTTATTCACGTTTATGAATGACTACTTATTGATGGAAAAAGAGAATTATTCTGGCCAAAGACAAAAGAATTTACTTGAACTCACACGCCACAAACTTAAATAAGCCAGGTTACCCACCTATTTATATAGTGTCAGGTTACACTCACTGCACAAGTTTACAGATATAAAGTTGGCCGCAAAGTCTCAACGTATAGCCTTTGTGAAATTTCACAGAGACAAGAAAATCAATTTCGTTATGCATTCTCTCAGCAACAGCAACGGTAGCTCTATTCTCTTCCTGATTCCTCATCTGGATGTCTGTTATGACAGTGTAGAGGTGGAAGGCTAGAAGCAGCTTTTCACATGGTGTAATAAGATAAATTCCTAAAGATTCTCTGCCCAAAACTATTTTCACTCTTTTCCATGCATTTATGCTTGCAAGTTTTATATTTTTAATACTAAAAGTGGCGCTAATTGAATAAAGAATAAAAATGTAAAGTGATTATCTACAAACTGATAATTAACTTTGCTACTATCCCCTCCTACCTTACTACTTCCTGTGATTTCCTCTCTAAGCTGCACACCCAAACAGGAAAGACAAGCTTCCTAGATAGAAGAGGGTTCCCTAGAAATGGGGGGATCTGGGTTTCCTTACTAAAAACCTCAAACAAACTCTTTTTAAGATCCATTTAGGGGAATAACATAATTAAATTCCTAAAGGTGAAAAACTGATCAATAGGGCAGGTCTAGACTTAGTGACATGCCTAGGGGAGTAGTGGGCTAACATAAAAATGCTAAATGCCTTTAGAGTGAAGAGAAAATAGGCAGGTATGTTTCCTTCCAGTTCCCTATTTTGGAAATTGCAGGTTCTATTTTCTTCTATTAAAAAATGCATTCTGGGTTTTGGAGGCAAATGATCTTATTCAAATTTCAATCCATAAAATTTACCATATAATCAAGTATTTTCTGCATTTGACGAGAAGGTACAAGCCATAAAAATCAAAAGTACATATATATATAATTATTTATTATTAATATTTTTTGAGACAGTCTTGCTCTGTCACCCAGGCTGAAGTGCAGTGGCGTGATCTCGGCTCACTGCAACCTCTGCCTCCTTCAAGCGATTCTCCTGTTTCAGCCTCCCTAGTAGCTGGGATTACAGGCACGTGCCACCACTCCCAGCTAATTTTTGTATTTTTAGTAGAGGCTGGGTTTCACCATGGTGGCCAGGCAGGTCTTGAACTCCTGACCTCAAGTGATCCGCCCGCTTCAGCCTTCCAAAGTGCTGGGATTACAAGTATCAGCCACCGTGCCCAACCAAAAGAATATATATTTTTAAATCTCAGCAACATACAAAAATCTCAGCAGAGATGCTGTTCTATCATGTATGTTTTGGTAAGCAACAAAATTCAAAGCTTTTGTATTTCGTTCATCCAAGGTATTAACAAGAAATGATCTAAAAAGCCTAGTGACATAAATGGAAATTCTAGGAGAAAAGAGAAGATGTATCTTCAATTTTCAATTATAGAGTGAACATCTTTGTAAACCCCAACAATGAAAGAATACAAACAAAGCCTTGGCAATAAAATTGCTACAAGTTACAGCACAAAAGAGACAAGAAGTACATGTTTCTCTTTTCTATTAATTGCTTTTCAATTACTAGAAAAACAGTATTCTGTTGAACATCTGTCAGTACTATTCTGAGTAGTTCTCTAGAATATTTTTATGTTTAATTAAGGGTTTGTTTTCATATTGCCCTGAACACTATTCATGGGTCTAAAGACACACAGAATGGGGACTAGAACATATTAATCCATATGCGGGAAAATAGAATGTATTAGTTGAGCCTACTTGTGGGATAGGTTAATTTAAAAACTAAGTAGCTTTGGAACATACTATAAATAAAATAAATGAAAAATATAGTATTTCAGCAAAGACCTAGATTTACCATACTCAGAAAATGCAGTAAATGAGCACTAGATATGTATTTTAAAAATATAATCTAGGAATTATTCACTTTTCAAAGTGAGTCTTTATTTTAATAAAATATTTTAATGAATATGTTTCACTTACATATTCATTTATATATATTTACAATATTATTTGTTTTACAAATATTTTATTTATTGCTACCTTTAAAGGATGTTAACAGTTGCTCAATGTAAGACATTGTTGTGTTGAGCCAGGGAATAGACTTGTGAAAAGTTTTTGAATGACTGTGGAAATATTTTAATGCTACATGTGTCTATTTTTTTTAACCTTCAATGGGGGTGATAATGCCAACATTTTTTTGAAGCTTTAAAGCCTGTCAAAAGTCCATTTTTCTAAATATGCCATATGTAATAAATATGAGTTTCTTTTATGATAAAAAACTGCAGGTCAATTTTAAGAATGAAATAAGTCACACTACTAAGTAGTGACAATGGACATTATACTTCTCACTACCATTCTGCATCTTATTTTAAATTTCTTTTTGGTACTCTTTGCTACCCTTACACCTGCTTTTTTGGTCTCTACTATACCTTTATCTTTGCCCTCTATTTTTTGTTTCCTTCTCTTCTTTTATTTCTGGCTTCTATACCTTATGTTTACACCCAGTGACATTTCCAACATTGCCTGGTTTGCTGTTAGTATATATTATTATATTCAGGTTTTAGTAAATTAATATACGTATATATTAGAGTATAGCAATATGGCCAATGGAACTGCCAGGCTATCCAACTCTGTAGGTACATCAAAAGGCTTTCTAGGAGGGCTTTGTCTATGAAACATGCAGCCACATCCATATTTTAACTTGCTCATATTTATTTGACAAAGAGAGATTTGTCAGAGCTTGACTTTATTTCCAGAGATTCAATCTAAACACCAATTTCAAATTCTGAAAATTAAGCCCTTCCAATATTTCTTAGCCAGAGGGATGAATAATTACCAATAAATCTGATAAGGTGGATAAAGGAGTTCATGTGACTTCTAGTTATGGTTAACATGCTTGAAAGTATGGCACACATACACACACTAGCAAACAAAAACACTGTGAAGAAGTACTTAAACTTGAACAGAATTTCCAAATAATGGAAAAATGCAGTGCCCTAGAGTAAATGGGTCCTAAAATAGCACTAGTTTTTTCCCCCTCAAAATAAGCTATATCACTACTCAGCAGACAAAGCCATTGTTAATTTTTTTCTTGTCAGCTGTGTTACTATGTCATTTGAGTCAAAGAATGAAGCATATGTGAATGAAAAAGTATAAGGAATATCACCAAATTGGTGAGTGGGGGTAGTAAAAAAAAAATATGACTGTCATAGATTTGCAGATTCGGTTTCCAGATTCCAGCAGTGCCTGCCGCTTGTGATGCTACTACAAAAATAACATCATATTTTTATATTGAGGCCATTTTTTAAAAGACTTTGAAAATGTATAGGCTGGGTGCAGTGGCTCACGCCTGTAATCCCAGCACTTTGGGAGCCCAAGGTGGGTGGATCACAAGGTCAGGAGTTCAAGACCATCCCAGCCAAGATGGTGAAACCCCGTCTCTACTAAAAATACAAAAATTAGCTGGGCGTGGTGGCGGGTGCCTGTAATCCCAGCTGCTCTGGAGGCTGAGGCAGAGAATTGCTTGAACCCAGGAGGTGGAGCTTGCAGTGAGCCAAGATCACGCCACTGCACTCCAGCCTGAACAACAGAGCGAGACTCCGTCTCAAAAAAAAAAAAGAAAATGTAGCTAATGCCATCATCCCACAGGTACTACATGAGTCAAGTGTTTTAGTAGCTATTAAACCACTGTCAGATTTACCTGAATTACATAAAAAGTAGATGCCATATATTAATAAGTTATATCACTTATTTATAAATCAATAGAACCAAATATGGCAGTAAAACAATAAATTTAGTTTAGTGTCTTTGTTTGTTTTTTGAGACGGAGTCTCACTCTGTCACCAGGCTGGAGCACAGTGGCGTGATCTTGGCTCACTGCAACCTCCGCCTCCCAGGTTCAAGCGATTCTCCTGCCTCAGCCTCCTGAGTAGCTGGTAATACAGGCACACCCTACCACGCCCAGCTAATTTTTAAAAAATTTTTTTATTTTTAGTAGAGATGGGGGTTTCACCATGTTGGCCAGGATGGTCTCGATCTCTTGACTTCGTGATCCACCTGCCTCGGCCTCCCAAAGTGCTTGGATTACAGGCGGGAGCCACTGCGCTTTACCAAATTTAGTTTTTAAAAACCTGATCGAGAACATAGGGCAAATATTGTGTAGCTATACTTTCTTTTACTTAAATAAATCAATGTTTCTGATTCTTCTGTGGCTGTATTGATTGTCAATTACCTAAGATCCTAGAGCATCAGTTCCCTGCTCACTCTGATTTCTTTTCTACTCGGTTAAGTTTACAGTATCTTAACTAGGGTGCAAATGTCTAAAAAGACCGTGGATAACCTCACATTGTTCACACTATACCTGGAATTGCTGTTTTCTATTCATTATCTAAACCAGAACATTGGGGAGATATAGTATATACCTGTGGATTTACTTTTAGTTTGGGAAAGCAAACACACTCTTGTCTGTTAGCAAAGGAGCTGCATCCTCAATACTAGAACTTGCAAGTTATTCCCCTTTGGAGAGCCCAAGAGAAGGGAACTTAGTCCAATTACTTCTATTTACTCACAAGACAGTTGAAGTAATCCAAGTCACAAAACTTGTTAGAAACCTGAGTGAAACCAAAGCCCTGTGCTTCCATTTCCAGTTCAGTGTCTTGCCCCTTCTTCCACTGTAACATATTTACTTGAATATATGAGGTATTTACTATACTTGGTGTATAGATATGTATGCCATTTTAGGGGTTTTCAGACAAAATTAAATTCACACTCAATTTTTTTTTGCTATCATAAATGCAATAGCAGTTGAACTTATAGCTGAAGGAACACTTGACAATATTCTCTTATTCCTCTTTTTTATGTGTAGAGGGAAGGAAAAGATTCCATTAGATGATCTCTATTGTTTCTTCTAGTTTTAATATCCTCTGAATCCATGAATCATCCTAGTACACATTGGTATGCAGCAAACGGCAAGAGGTATGTCTTTGTAAATTTAAGTTGTTGATATAAATTCCTGTAGTGCACATTTACTACTGAAAGCATAGAATAAGAATAACCACCACAGCTTAAATGAGTATTTATTCTCCCTTTACTGTTGCCACACTGCATACTCTCCTGCCCCTACCATTTCTCCCCTTCATTCCCTATCAATCTGTGTAATGCGATCAGTCTGTAAATGCAAGGTAGTAGAATCAAAAGAGCACAGGCTTTGTTATAAGACAGACATAGGATTTGAATCCAGGCTGTGCAGCTTTGAACCACATGCTTAATCTTCCTGAGTCTCAGTTTCTTCCACTGTAATAGAGGTATACTAATATAGACCTGAGAAGATGGTTAGTAGGATTGGTGACCACGTAAGATGCCCAAACAATGTTGTGATGATAATAATAAACGATCACATTCTTATTATTATTACAAAACAAGTGTTTTTCAAAATTTGCAGTGGGGAGAGGTTAACAGTTTATGTGTTCCTCAAAATTAACTGGAGGTGGTCCCACTTCACTGCCCCCCGCCCCCCACAACACTCCATTTGTAAAAGTGTCACTTTTCTTTTTGTTTTTATAATACCCTAATCTGCCTAACTGCAGGGGACAAATTTAGTTTGCTGTTATTAAAAAAAAAATCATTTAGAATGCAGTTCTACTTTGGTAGACTTTAACATTACTGCCAGCAAGTCCCATTACAATCGTGTCTGCTTGAATATCTGAAACATCTTAAGATTTAAAAATTATTGTTCTGTGTTACAAATATAATAGCTTACATTGTAAATGAGTTCTCACCAGTTTTAGATGAAAGTATGATGGGACAAAATGTTGGATTTAGTTAATAATCTATAATTGTGGTTAGTTTATTTAAAATGAAGGCCTAATATTGAGATGTACCAAGTAGGAAGAAGAAAAGGGATTGAATAGAAAATAAATTATGAAAGAAAAGTAAATCTCAAACAATGACCAGTATGCATGGTAATCCTACATTAAAAGTAGGTAGAGTGAAGAGAAATAATATAAAAATGGTGAACTACCTGGGAGTAAAAATGTCTTCTAGAAAAATATATGTTAATTCATTTTTCATGGCTCCTGTTTTATAAGATTAAGGTGACTGCACTGACTACAATCTTTAAAAAATTATTTTACTAGCTATCAAAAGTAACTTAGGTTCATAGTAAAAATTTCAGAACGTATGAGAACTAAAGAGAAAAATAAAGATTGGTCCCAAGATAACTTTTGGTATCTTTCATCAGTTCTTTTTTCATGCATCATGCATATATGATATCATTTGTTTAATAAAATTTGGACATTAGTATATAAACAGTTTAAAACCTTATTATGGAAAATCTTTTTCAACTTATAAGAAAGTAGAAAAACTGTATAATGAAATCCCCATATGCCTAGCAACAATTATTAGTCTTTGGCCATCTTGTTTTATCTATACCTTCTTCTAATCCTCCAACCCTAAATTATTTCAAAGCAAATCTATATGATCTATTATTTTCATCCATAAATGTTTTAATATGTTCCTCTAAAAGATAACTCTTCTACAAAACAAACAAAAATATGAATATCAAACATTAACAAATTAACCATGATTCCTTCATATTATCAAATAGCCACAGTATGTTTTATTTTTTAAAATTTGGCTTCTGTTTGACAATATCATGGCCATCTTTCACTTGCAGTGTAAAAGTCTATTGACTACAACACTGAAGTAATTTGTATTGCCAAAAAAGTGAGTGCCAATTTTCCTACATTTTATCTCAGGTTGGATTTTAATCTTTCTTTTAATCATTGTCAATTTGACAGATTAAAAATAAAAACTTGTTTTCATGTTTGTTGTCCAGTTATATTTTTTGTTAATTGCTTTTTTATGCCTTTTACTTCTATTGAAGTGTTTATTTTTTCTTATTGATTTGTAAGCGTTCTTTACAAACCTGTGTATTTCCTCAAATTGTTCATACTCTGGCTAGTCTTGGTATAATTTTACATTATGTTTTCTATTCATTTACTAAGCCAGAACACTGGAGAGAAAGTTTATATTTGTGGATTTATTTGTATTTTGGGGAAACATTATTTTCCCAATTGCCTTCTAAGCCTAGTCATAATGCCCTCTTCTCTGTTACGAAGTGGAGATTAAGTTAAGCCTTTGTCATATACGTTTCAAATATTTTTCTCGTCATTTATTTGTCACCTTTGTTCACAACAGTTATTTTTCTCTATACCCAAATTTTCCTATCTTAAGATGAGCATAGGTTACAAATTTTCTTCTTATACTTTTATCATTTTATTTTTCATTTTAGAAACTTAATTCAGGCCAGGTGCAGTGGCTCACGCCTGTAATCCCAGCACTTTGGGAGGCCGAGGCAGGCGGATTACGAGGTCAGTAGATCGAGACCTTCCTGGCTAACACGGTGAAACCGCGTCTCTACTAAATACAGAAAATTAGCCAGGCGTGGTGGCGGGCGCCTGTAGTCCCAGCTACTTGGGAGGCTGAGGCAGGAGAATGGCGTGAACCTGGGAGGTGGAGCTGGCAGTGAGTCAAGATTGCACCACCGCACTCCAGCGTGGGTGACAGAGTGAGACTCCGTCTCAAAAAAAAAAAAAAAAGAAGAAACTTAATTCAATCTTAAATTATTGTAATATAAGGCATGGATTAGATTTTAATTTTACCTTCATCCCAAAATTGCTAGCTAAGTGTTCCACAGCATTTGAGTATACCATCCTTTTCCCAATGATTCAATGTGTCTTCCTTATCATCTAATTAAATATTTTATATACTGAATAATTTAAAAACACACATGCATATTTAAAAGTGTATATGTGTATATATAGTGCAAGTAGGGACCTAAGTACATGGGATAAGTCTTAAACGACAGTGGAAAGAAGGCAGTCCATATAAGTTTGATGGAGTACTTCACTGAGCACATATGCAATAAAAGGAAACCCTAAATATTTTTAGAGAACAAGCAATGAAAAATATTTTAAATGGAGGTGTAAAAAGATACCTGTGAGCTGTAAATTTTGCCCATTTCACAAATATGCTGAAGACTTATTCATCAGAGAGCAGACCTAGCTCTTCCGAGCTTACCTATGTGAACAATCCCTATACCTCTCATTTATTTAACATTTATTTGGTCCTTACTATGTGGCAGGCATTTTGCTGCATTCTGGTGATACAAAAAAGCATATGATTCAGTCCATGCCCTTAAGGAGTTCATATTTTCATTGATGGGACTTTTTATATTGTGTTGTAATTGTCTGTTTATGGGCCTGATTCTCTTCCTGGGCTATGACCTTCCTCAGGACAGTGTCCATGGTTTATTCATGTTCAAATCCCTACTGTTTAGAATAGTTATTGACACATCGTAGCTGCTGATCAATGAGTATTTGTTGAGTTCCCTGGGAGCAGAATCCCATTATTTCCAGGGTCTTTCACACTCAAAGCCTTCTGCCACAGGGAGATAAGAGCCATCTATGAAACATTCATTGCTGCAAATCAGTGACTTTTTCTGCTCTGCTCAGGCTCCTTCCAATGTTGCCATGTCAGATGACTTTTCTTTTCTTCTACAAATCCTCTTGCTATCCTTCTCTATCCTGCCTTTTTCCTCCCGGGGTTGACTTGTTTCCATTATATCAATAGTCTCTAGCCCCCCGGTCTTCTGGTTGGGTTTTGCCAGTGGAAAGCCCTAGTAGTAGATGGCAGGGAAGGAATAGAGAGAAGATATGATATTTACTTCCGTGTGAAGTTTTCTCAGGCTGGCTATGTTCACTCCACAGAAAGTCTTTAGTCCTTCCTCTTAAAGTAGCTTGCTGTGATACACTCTCCTCTTCTATCAACTTCCAAATCTTCCGAAGCCTATGGCGGTAGTGGTAGATGGCTAGCAGCTAATAGCTCTGGGTTCTTTTTAATTTCATTTTATTTTTCATAAGGGAATCAATCCTAATAGCTCTGGGTTCTTAATGATGTTTCATGGCTCCAATATATGCTCCATGCACTCCTTTTCACATAATTTCTTTGCAAATAAAGCCTCTTCAAATATATTGTGTGCCATTTATTCGCTTGCTATCAATATTTTATTATTATTATTATTAGTAGTAGTAGTAGTACTGTATTTTTCCTGAAGAGTATGTGTTTGGGGTTGGGAGGTAGGTAGTGGAGATAGGGGTGCAAGTGTGGTTGTACATATGCAAGAAAGCAGTTTTATGTTTGTAGGTATCTAATAGCTTGAAAAGTAGTTCCAGGCCAGGCACAGTGGCTCACATGTGTAATCCCAGCACTTTGGGAGGCAAAGGCAGGTGGATCGCTTGAGTCCAGAAGTTTGAGACCAGCCTGGGCAAGGGGAACAAGTCCTGTCTCTACAAAAAATACAAAAATTAGCTGGTTGTGGTGGCACGTGCCTGTAGTCCCAGGTACTTGGGAGGCTGAGGTAGGATGATCACCTGAGCTCAGGGAAGTGGAGGCAGCAGTGAGCCTCATTGTGCCACTGCACTCTAACCTGGGTGACAAAGTGAGACCCTGTCTCAAAAAAAAAAAAAAAAAAAAAAAAAAAAAAGGAGTTCCAAAGACTGAAGTGATAATTTGGCAGAAGGATCAGTGAAAATAGGAGAGGTCAAACTACTCGTATACCACTACGGGTGCTCAAAAGGTACATTGATCAGTTGGTAATTCACAGTGAAACGGTATTTTTTTTAAATTATTTTACCCCAATATTAACTATGCCTGTCCTATAGTTTTTGTTTCTTGATAATTTGCCAAGAAAAACTGTTTGCCATTATTATCTGAAAGTGATCATTTCCACACCAAGTAAAGAATTCTAGCTATACATATTAGCTGAGCTACAAAAATCCTTTATAGACTCCAAGGGAATAAAAGAAATCACACCTTGTTGCTTTTGGTTATTTGACTCATTATTCTGGTGGATCATTCACCAAGTGTTTGGTACTGTGTTTAGCTTTACATTATATCTATATATATAGATACAGTGTAGATATTCTACAATTGTACTTACTTCATTTATTTTTCTATTCAGTAAGCTTTTATGAGAACCAATTGAGTAATGGACTTCATGCTATTTAGGGGCTGAAGAATCAGAAATAAATATGATACATGTGTTTTACTAGAGGTACTTAAATGAAGATTAATGGGCCCTACAAATGAACTTTCTTTTCAAAAGTTCCTTTTCCTTTTTGTTACAGAGACATAAGAAGAACTGCTTTACCTTAATTGGGAGTTTTTCAAAGGGGCTATTACAGGAGTACCAAGGGCATCACAGAGATGGATCCAAAGCTGTACACAGTTATTGCAGTTTTGGGCGATGATGAATTAGCCTTCTCTATATTCTGAGACTTCTATTTTAGTATGAATATTTGTATAATGTTATCACATTGCAAAGCTCAACTCTAGTGTAGCAAGTTCAGACATGATAAACTTCAAACTTCATGATAAACTTTAATTTTTGTTTTGATGAAAGGAAAATATACATTATATAAAGGTTCATAAAAGGCTGTGTGTGTGTGGAGCCAAGAAAGACATGAGTCTTTTTTGGTGCACAAGCTATTAAAAGAAGAGCAGTAGGTGCTTGATCTCACTTACCCTAATATCCCTGATATTGAAATAATTTTTCTATACGTTGAATGATTTTATTCCTTTGAAGCAATAGTACTGTTTCATTATATCCCACTGAATAAACTTTAGTAGGTAGGTATCATGTGCTGGGGAAGTAAGGAACTCTTGCTTTTAAGTCACTATTTAATTTATGACTTTGCTATTACTCCTGTCTCCTTGCATTTCCTCATGGTGCTCCATTTCATTAATAATAGAAAGGTCTCTAGTCTGAACACACTTCATTTTTATGCATTGAAGTTCTTTCGGCTGGTATCCGCTGATATTCCTCACAAGCTATTTCTATTTATGAGGATACTATTGTACTTTGAAAAGATACACATTTGGCTGGGCATGGTGGCTCACGCCTGTAATCTCAGCACTTTGGGAGGCTGAGGCGGGCAAATCATGAGGTCAGGAGTTCGAGACCAGCCTTACCAACATGGTGAAACCCTATCTCTACTAAAAATACAAAACTTAGCCGGGCGTGGTGGCACACACCTATAATCCCAGCTACTCAGGAAGCTGAGACAGGAGAATCACTTGAGCCCTGGAGGCAGAGGCTGCAGTGAGCCGAGATTGCCACTGCACTCCAGCCTGGGCGACAGAGCGAGACTCTGTCTCAAAAAAAAAAAAAAGAAAGAAAAAAGAAAAGATATACATTTAAGAAGCACTAAAGAAACATTTTAATACATCCTATATTAGGAGAAATATTTAATTTTTTGTGCCATTTTTGTAGATCAAATAATAGATTTTAAATAAAATTAATTTATTTTTAGTAGTGCACACAGGTTGCTTATTTTTCCCTCTAGATAGAAGGGTGTTGGCATTCTTGAGGAGTTAGGTCCCCCACATCCTGTTGTTTACCATTCTGACCAGGCCCTGCAAGTGCCCAGGGCTAATCGGGCATGGCTTCATTATGTTCTATAAATATATATACATTAACAAGAGGAAGCCCTGGACTATGCTTGTGAATGAAAGCAAGAAAGTAATACTGATTCTCAAGAGAAAATGTATATTAAGAACTTAAGAACTTAAAATTCCAAATTAACCGTTGTTACTCCATTTTCTGAGAAGGAAAAATGTCTCCATATGCCCTTCCACATATGATAGTCCTATTTTTGACATGTTGAGAGCTGGGATCACTTAAGAATGATTTAAAAGCACATTTAAAAGATTCAATGACTTTTCGGCCGGGCGCGGTGGCTCACGCCTGTAATCCCAGCACTTTGGGAGGCTGAGGCAGGCAGATCACGAGGTCAGGAGATCGAGACCATCCTGGCCAACATGGTGAAACCCTATCTTTACTAAAAAAATACAAAAAATTAGCCGGGCGTGGTGGCGGGCGCCTGTAGTCCCAGCCACTCGGGGTGCTGAGGCAGGAGAATGGTGTGAACCCGGGAGGTGGAGGTTGCAGTGAGCCGAGATCGCGCCACTGCACTCCAGCCTGGCGACAGAGCTAGACTCCATCTCAAAAAAAAAAAAAAAAAAAAAAAAAAAAACAAAAAAAAAAACAAAAAAACGTCTTTTTGTAAGGTTTGTATTATCTTTTCTATGAAAAACAAGGATGTGTATCTTAGAAAACTAGTGTAATTATTTTCTTATTTTATATATCACCAAATTGTTCTGTTATATAGGATACTAAAGATGGCTCTGAATATAAAATGTGCATATCAGGGTACTACAAAAGAGTGTAATGTACTGAGTGCCCAATGAATGTCTTTATTCTTAAAGATTTCATAGAAGTAAATATTCTTTTCTTATCATACATTATACTGAAACTAATCCTTACTTTCATTTAAGAACTCTTAGCAAAGCAAAAGGACCATACGCATGGAAAAATCTGTCAAGTCTTCTATTTCATAAATGTTAGAAATGAATAAATAAAACGTCAGGAGTTTTGTTTAAAAAAAGCTTTAAAAAAATTTTTTTTAGAGTCTTGCTCTGTTACCCAAGCAGGATTGGGTAACCCAACCTCCACCTCCTGGGTTCAAGCGATTCTCCTGCCTCACCCTCTGGAGTAGTTAGGATTAGAGGGGTGCTACCACACCTAATTTTTTTTTTTTTAATTTTGTATTTTTAGTAGAGACAGGGTTTCACCACGTTGGCCAGGCTGGTCTTCCACTCCTGACTTCAAGGGATCCACCCACATTGGCCTCACAAAGTGCTGGGATTACAAGTGTGAGTCATTGCACCTGGCCACATTTTCAAGTTTAAATATTTTAAATGATATTAAAGAATATCATTTAAAACCTAACTTCATTGAAAGGCACCAGACATACATTCTTTTTCTGAACAGGGAGACAAAGGTTTTTTTTTTTTTTCCCCCTCAATCTAATTCTTCAATTTACTTGGCAAGGGAAGTGACTTTAAGCTGCTATAAATAATTAACCAAAAGACAATGCCCTGCATTTTTTGAAAGTATACATTTTCCCCCCAAATTTAATGTTTTAATTTTAGGAGAGTAGTCTTTAAAGAGAGAAGCCAAATGCATCATTAAAAAGCCAAAAATATAATTTCCTCTGTCTCATTAATATGCTCTTGGCATCAAGAAAAGCATTTTTTTAAGGTAACTTCTTACTAATGGTCCCCACAAAACCTCCCATCATCTACCTCCCTTCCATATGTCCAGGTAAGTGGTAATTTGCCATACAAGTTAGTTATTGTTTACAAAGATAAAATTTTTTTAAGTGAAAAACATATTTATCTGTGAGAATCATATTTTGGATTGTGATTTTAAAATTTTCTTGTGAGGTTTCTTTCATTTTACATCTTAAAGAAAAAGTATTTTATAAATCTGAAAAATATTTTGCAATAATTTCTGTAATCCAAGTGTTCCAGATTTTACCAGCTAGTAACTATAAATTAAGATCATGTTTTCTTTTAATTCCAAAATTATCATAGCTTGAGCCCATACCAGCCTAATCACTGGAAATTAGACTTCTTAACTTTTGAGGATTTTCCCGGGTACTGCCTCCCATATGCTCAGGAGCAGGTGGCCTCCTCATCACACTGCTGTCTCTGCCATTGGCCGGCCTCCTGAGACCACTAAACATATGGTCTCAACTCCCTTTTCCTCCAAGAATGACCACCACCACTACTGCCTTTCTGATCTCAGGCAAGAGTGACACTTGCTCTTCTCCACCTGAAAAAAGTAGACCTCCTCCCTTACTCCCCATAGCACAATTGAGACCAGGATAAAATGTTAACTAAACTATTAAAGGTTCAGGCATCATGAAGGAAAGTGCGACAAAGAGAGTAACTTACAATTGCTATAAAAATGGCTACTGTTAAAATACACAGAACCTCAGATTTCTTATTGGTCCAGCTTGAGGCTGGCTGACATTTCCTTACCAGGAAAGTCCCAGCATGTGTCTGACTCAGAGTCCAGCAGAAACCCCTAGTCCAAAGTGAAGATTCCCATTCACCCCAACCTAAGGCCTGGGTCCTCATTTTCTGCCTCAATATTGGAGCTCACTCAGAATGATTGACCATGAAAATTTACACTCTCTTCAGGGAAAACTTCCCACCTAGCTAAGTTGTGCTCTCTTTAGGAGCCATCAAAAAACACCACAACACCATAGCCCAACAGGGTTTTTCTGCCTTAAGCAACGCTTTACTGCAATACAGGATTTTTCTGCTTTGAGCAAGGTTTCACTGGAATGCAGCTGACCAGGTGATTGTGTACTGCTTAGCCAGTCCAGCTTCTTGGTGGTAGCGTGATGTGATGGCATGATTGGGCCTGTAAGACATTTGTACCGTTCTTTCCATCTTTGCTTTACATCTCAAGAATTCATAGAGTTAGACAACAACTCTGCAAATATTCAGTAATTGATGTTTACAGTATGACCGAAACCCATTTTGTACCATTCTTTCCATCTTTGCTTTACAGCTCAAGAATTCATAGAGTTAGACAACAACTCTGCAAATATTTAGTAATTGATGTTTACAGTATGACCGAAACCCATTTTGTGAAAAGAAACATTTTCTAAACACAATCTGTGGAAACTCTTCTGATAAATTCCCTAATTTATATTACAAAACCTTACCTTTTCATTTTGTGAGCATTTGCATAGCAGTTATTTCATTGAGTTCAGGTTTTTCTTTCAAATAATTGGTTGGTATTATTCTATTTTTTTTCTAGGAACAAAGTAACAGGCTTCCTCAAGGATTCCACCCAACAAAGTAGAACTTTCTCAAAACTTTGAATGGTCTTGTAAGCACTGTCAAGGGCAGAGACAGCAGTGTGAAGAGATGGGTATTGAGTTTTAAAGATCTCAAGTTTTGGAATCCAGAGTACCCTATAGGAAACTAAAATTCAGTGGCTACCTTAGAACAACATCTTTTCATTCTCATGAGTCTCATTTGGGTGAGGCTTGACTCTAGAGTTGAGTCCCTGAGCTACAGGCTGCATTTTGGATTCAGGCCTGTAGCATGTGTCTCATTCTGGGGCCTAGGCTCGAGGGCAGTGGCTTACTGAGGCATGTTCTCCCCAAGGTAAAAGTGCTCCCAGAGCTCAAAGTGCTAGCCCAATGGCACAAGCACATTTCAAGCTTATGCCTGAGTCATGTCCACTAGCATCTGTGGTCAAAGGAAGACATGGCAGAGCCCAGTGCGAAGGGGCGGGGAAGTTCACTTAGTCCTCCTCTCTGCAAGGCTGTGGCAAGAGTGTGGATATATAATTCTATTACAGAGGAGCAGGTGATTATATCCAACAATTCAATCTTCTTTTCTGGACCACTGCAGAACTTGCTAGTTCTCTATTCTCTCTTGCATCTAGTCTTGTACCATAATCCCCATTATTTATAACTGATATTGTCACTCCCTTGCTTAAATCTATACTTCTGTTATGGGAAAAATTTAAGCATTTTAGGGAGACCACTGAGTTCACACTGGTTAGTTTTAAAGCATTTAAAATTTCTAGGCTGGGCACAGTGGATCACACTTGTAAGTTAGCACTTTGGGAGGCCACGACAGGCAGATCAGTTGAGGTCAGGAGTTTGAGACCAGCCTGGCCAAAATGTTGAAATCCTATCTCTATGAAAAATACAAAAATTAGCTGGGTGTGGGGGTGTGTGCCTGTAATCTCAGCTACTCGGGAGGCTGAGGCAGGAGAATCACTTGAACCTGGGAGGCAGAGGTTGCAGTGAGCCGAGATGGAACCACTGCACTCCAGCCTGGGCAACAGAGTGAGACCCTGTCTCAAAAAAAAAATCTATTATTTTTGCATGCATTCTTTCTCTCCCTTCATCCTTTAAAGCTGTGCTTCCATCTACTTGTTACTTCTCTGAACACTTAAATATTTTTAAGGCTCATAATTTTGTCCATGCTATTTCTTCTTACAGGAATTTATTTCATTTATCCAACGAAAATGTATTATATGCCTACAATGTACCAGGCACTCAGCAAGACTACAGATAAAACATTGGAGAACGAATGAATTTTTCTTTTCCTTCAGAGAGATTTCTTTCCTCTTTCCCCAAAGAGAGTTAATTTTTTTTCATTTTAATGTCTCTTACCACTTTGCATCAGTGTGGCTAAATAACATTTTGAAATACAAAATAATGGTTTTTTCTTTCTGTATTTTCCCTTTTTTCTTCCTCCCCCAAAACAAGCAAGGGGAGGGCCCTGGGCCATTGTTTTTGTAGAAGAAGGTCCTCCACCAAACACAAACAAACAAAGAAAACACAACTAACCTAATGCTATTGAGGACATTTTGATATGTGACCCTAGGAAAAAATATCAAGATAAAATGATATGCAACTGGAGGTGGAGAATCTAGAAGAAAGTGGTAAACAACATAGGGCCTTTGTCCTAGATTACAAAGATTTCCCTGGCTAGAGAAAGGAGGAAGAGAAAGAACTCTGGAGATCCCAAGATCAAAGGGGACCTATATACTCTTTCTGGTAATGCCTTGAGCATGATGGTATCAGTTTCCAGTAACAACAACAACAGCAAGATAATGATAGCAGCTAACTCTCCCTGAGTACTGCTATGTGCCAAATATTGTGTTATGCAATTTATATTAAATTAGCTCGTTTTGTCCTCACCACAACTTTGTGAGGTAGGTAATATACATATCTCCACTTTACAGATGCAAACCTAAAGCTGAGGAAATTTTTAAAAATTTGCACAAGACCACACACAGATACGGTGTGCGTAGGATGTGAGTCCAAGCAATGCCAAAGTCATCTTACCAGGGCTGCATACATTTGACGACTCTGCCTCTCTATGGCCAGGCACCCTCTACCCACTAAGTTCCCAGTAGACTGGGAACTTAGGCTGAGAAAACCATCTGCAGCCATTTAAGAGCTTCTTGTTTCTCCTGCAGGACACAGATCCCGATCCTATGGAGTCCTGCAAACAGGCAAACAATGAACAATAACACTCTTCTTTCTCTCCCATTCCAATCACCCAGGTAAGAGGATGAGAGAGAAAGACCAAATAATTACCAGAATCAATTTTCTGCTGGTCTGGAAGATGGGGATTGGTACAAAAAAATAATTAAGCATGAATACAGAAAATAATAAATATATTTATTATACATGTAAGTTTGTAAGGTGAGATTCATACCTATTACATAGACTATAATGCTTTCTCTTATTAGTTTGCATTACAATTAGAGTATTTCCTGTAGATTGTGAAGAAGTACAAGTTAGGACATTTTTGTTATTTAACTTTGTTTCTTGCACATAGGGGTATGCCAGGAATATGCTGGTTGAAAGGCTTATTGAATCATCCTTAATAAGATTTTTCTATTACTCTATTTTTCCCTCAGTAAATTTTGTTCACTTAAAATGTTGAGATCTTTATTGTAAATATAAAGTCTATTAACATTAATAGCTGCACTTCAAAGGTCCTTGCTCTTAGAAATGTATTTTTTACTCTTTATTCTTATTTCTTATTCTTAAGATAATTTTTAAGAATAAATCAGAAAATGTAACACAAAAACATTTCAACCAAAATATTCATTAACCATACCATGTAATTTCCAAGGGCAAAGGGTACTTACAACTGTAATGACAATAGCTGCAGAATCTATCAAGAAAACAATGTTAATGAATAGGAAGGGGAAATACATAATCCATAGAGGAACGATGCCAGAGAGAACTGCAACAAATGACTCAGCAGGAGAAGGTCTTACTAATGTCAAGGGCCAGAAAGCCAAGCACTGTCATCTAAGAAGAAAATCTGCCAAGAAATCAAGACTACTCCTAGAGTTGAAGCAACTTAATGTAAATCAGAGCTACTGTTGGTTTCTGTGATGATAACAGTTAACCAGTTAGTATGCTGCCCTTCTTAGTCACTTCCTTCCCATTCCTCTACCTCTTTGTGGTTTCTGACCTTCAGTCCTAGGAACTCAACAATTCTACAGTCCCAGTAACCCCAAATAGATTTTTTCCCTGTTAGATACATATTAAGGTTTTCAGCTTTATTTGACTTCATGAAGAACAGTTATGTCAGTTACACCAAAGATATGCATAAACTAACAAGTCTGAACTAATACTGTAAAGCATTTGAGGAAAAGCATAGGTTCTTACGCTATTTCCTTCATTCAGTCACAGACCATCCAGTCAACATCTGTTGTTTACTGAAAGTTGGGTATTGCTCTAGGTGCTAGAATTCACAGACTAGCTGGACAGACAGACATATAAATAAATTCTATGTGTAGTACGATAGGTGTTAGAGACATCGCTAAAGTTCCAGGAGAGCACAGACAGGAGAAGGCAATAGACAAAATAAAGGAGAATTTCTAGAGATGGAGATTCTATTGTTTATTTTTATTTATTTATTTACTTAGAGACAGGGTCTTGCTCTGTTGCCCAGGCTGGAGTGCAGTGGTGTGGTCATGGCTCACTGCAGCCTCAACCCCCTGAGCTCACATGATCCTCCTGCCTCAGCCTCCTGAGTAGTTGAGACTACAGGCACGTGCCACCATGCCTGGCTAATTTTTATGCTTTTAGAGACAGGGTCTCACTATGTTCCCTAGGTTGGTCTTGAGCTCCTGGGTGCAAGTGATCCTTTCACCTTGGCCTCCAAAGTGCTGGAATTACAGGTTTGAGCCACTGTTAAAAGGGACTTTGAAACTGGATCTTGAAGGATGTTAGGAAGTTTGCCAGCTGATTCAGAAAGGAAAAGGCAGCTAGGTGAAAAAGAATAATATTAATATTTTGGGGGGAGGGGCCAAGACGGATGATAAGAAGCAGCTGTGTTCCACGGCTCTCACAGAGAAGAATGAAAACGGCAAGTAAATCTGGCGTCTTCAACTGAAATATCCAGGTTCTCGCACTGGCACTGACTAGGCAATCAACTCGACCCACAGAAAATGGAGAAAAGCAGGGTGGGGTGACGGTCCACGTGGGAGCGGCACGCAGGCAAAGAAACCCTCACCGCCAGCCAAGGGAAGCAGTGAGTGATGGCGTGACTCCACCCGGGAAACCATGCTTTCCTGACTCCACCCGGGAAACCATGCTTTCCTACAGATCTTTACAAACCCTAGATCAGGAGATCCCCTCGTGAGCCCACACCACCAGGGCCTTGTGTTCGATACACAGAGCTGTGTGGAGTCTCAGCAGAGCTGTCGTTCAGGCTCACATAGAGACCCAGGTTTTTATTTTTATTTATATTATATACATATATATACACATATATACATACATATATACACATATATATACATATATACATATACATATACTATATATATACATATATATACATATACATATACTATATATACACATATATATACATATACATATACTATATATATACACATATATATGTGTATATATATATATTTTTTAATTTTGACGGAGTCTTGCTCTGTCACCAGGCTGGAGTGCAGTGGCGCGGTCTGGGCTCGCTGCAACCTCCACCCTCAGGGTTCAAGCTATTCTCCTGCCTCAGCCTCCCGAATGGCTGGGACTACAGGCAGCTGCCACCACGCCCAGCTAATTTTTTTTTTTTCGGTATTTTAGTAGAGACGGGGTTTCACCATGTTGGCCAAGATGGTCTCAATCTCCTGACCTCGTGATCCGCCAACCTCGGCCTCCCAAAGTGCTGGAATTACAGGCGTGAGCCACAGTGCGCGGCCGAGACCCAGGAGTTTTACAGTCTCTAGCCCGGGGATTTCTGGCAAGGTGGGAGTTCCATCCATACATTCCTCTAGAAAGGAGGCTGAATCCAGGGAGCCAATCGGCATCCTTCTGTGGGCCCCACTTCCGTGGCACCTCTCAGGTTAAGACCCATTGGCTTGGAATTCAGGTTCGACAATGCAGTGGGCTGGAGATTGCCTGAAATGGACGAGTTGCCAGCGGGAGGGGCTGCCACCATTTCTGCAGTTAGGTCAATTCAGCTGTTCTAGCCTGCTGGTTCCTGGGATTCCAGGTAGTCAGACAAGGAGGAGTCCCCCACAAAATAGCACAGCTGTTATGCCAGATCGTGGCCAGACTTCTTTAAGTGGGACCTGAATCCATCCCTCCTCACGGGGCAGGGCCTCCCTGTGGGAATTTCAGCAACTCCAGCCAGAGTTATACAAACAGAACTCTAATCTTTCCCTAGGATGGAGCCCCCAGGGGGAGGGGGGAAGCTTATGTCTCTGCAGTACAGTCACCTCAGCCTTTCCAGCCTGCTGGGTCTGAAGAGTCCAGGGAGGTCACCCTGATGCAGCACACCTGCTCTATCAAAAAGCAGCCAGACTGCTTCTTTAAGCAGGCTCCTGATCCTGTTTCTCCTGACTGGGTGAGACTCCCAACAAAGGTCTCTAGAAACCTCCTACAGGAGCATCCAGGCTGGGTCAGTTACCCCTCTGGGACGGGAGTTCCCAGAGGAAGGAGCAGGCTGCCATCTTTGCTGTTTAGCAGACTTCACTGGTGATACCTCCAGGTAAGGGAAAAACTGAGGCAACTAGGGTCTGGAGCAATCCCCCAGCAAACCACGGCAGCCCTACAGAACAGTGGCCTGACTATTAAAAGAAAAACAAACAAACAGAAAACGACAACAACATCAATAAAAAATACCCCACAAAAACCTTATTCAAAGGTCAGCAACCTCAAATATCAAAGGTAAATAAGTCCACAAGAGAATCAAGGCAAAAACACTGAAAACTCAAAAAGCCAGAGTACTTTTTCTCCTCCAAATGACTGCAGCACCTCTGCAACAAGGGCACAGAGCTGGGCTGAGGCTGAGATGGCTGAATTGACAAAAGTAGGCTTCAGAAGATGGGTAATAACGAACTTCACTGAGCTAAAGGAGCATGTTGTAACCCAATGCAAAGAAATTAAGAATCATGATAAAACAATACAGGAGCTGAGAGGCAGAATAATTTAGAGAGGAGCATAGCCGACCTGATGGAGCTGAAAAACACAACATGAGAAATTCACAATGCAATCACAAGTATCAAAAGCAGAATACACCAGGCAGAGGAAACAGTCTTATAGCTTGAAGACTGTCTTTTTGAAATAAGACAGGCAGACAAGAATAGAGAAAAAAGAATGAAAAATAATGAACTCTGAGAAATATGGGACTATGTAAAAAGACCAAATCTATGACTGATTGGGGTAACTTAAAGAGATGGGGAGAATGGAACCAAGTTGGAAAATATACTTCAGGATGTCATTCCAGGAGAGCCGGGCACAGTGGCTCATGCCTGTAATTCCAGTACTGTGGGAGGCTGAGGCAGGTGGATTGCCTGAGCTCAGGAGTTCAAGACCAGCCTGGACAACATGGTGAAACCCTGTCTCTGCTAAAATACAAAAAGTTAGCTGGGTGTGGTGGTGTGCGCCTATAGTCCCAGGTACTCAGGAGGCTGAGGCATGAAAATTGCTTGAACCTGGGAGGCTGCAGTGAGCTGAGATTACACCACTGCACTCCAGCCTAGGTGACAGAGTGAGACTGTCTCAAACAAACAAACAAACAAAGAAAAAGGATATCATTCCCGGAGAACTTCCCCAACCTAGCAAGACAGGCCAACATTCAAATTCAGGAAATCCAGAGAACCCCAGTAAGATACTTCATGAAAAGATCAACCCAAAGACATATAATCATCAGATTCTCCAAGGTTGAAATGAAAGACAAAAATGTTAAGGGTAGCCAGAGAGGAAGGCCAGGTCACCTACAAAGGGAAGCCCATCAGACTAACAGCAGACCTCTCAACAGAAACCCTACAAGCCAGAAGAGATTGGGGGCCAATATTCTACATTCTTAAAGAAAAGATTTTCCAACCCAGAATTTCATATCTGGCCAAACTAAGCTTCCCAAGTGAAGAAGAAATACAATCCTTTTCAGACAAGTGAATGCTTAGGGAATTTGTCACCACCAGGCCTGCCTTGCAAGAGCTCCTGAAGGAAGCACTAAATATGGAAAGGGAAAACTGTTACCATTGATATGGGTCTTGACTGTTTATCCAGCTTCCATTCTGTGTCTTTTAATTGGGCATTTATTTAGTCCATTTACATACATTTAAAGTTATATTGTTCTGTGTGCATTTGAACCTGTCATCATGATGCTTGCTGGTTATTTTGCAGACTTGTTTATATGGTTGCTTCATAGTGTCACTGGTTTGTGTAATTCAGTGTATTTCTGTAATGGCTGGTAATGGTTTTTCCTTTCCATATTTAGTGCTTCTTTTAGCAAGAATCTCTGGGACACAGCTGAAGCAGTGTTAAGAGTGAAATTTATAGCACTAAATGCCCATAACAAAAAGCTAGAAAGATCTCAAATTAACAACGCAAATAAAATAACTAGTGAACTGAGGGCAAACAAACCCTAAACCTAGCAGAAGACAAGAAATAACCAAGATGAGAGCAGAACTGGAGGAGACAGAGACATGAAAAACCCTTCAAAATATCAATGAATTCAGGAGCTTTTTTCAAAAAAAGTAATAAAATAGATAGACTGCTTGCTAAACTAATAAAGAAGAAAAGAGAGAAGAATCAAATAAGACACAGTCAGAAATGACAAGGGGGATAGTATCACTGATCCCACAGAAATACAAACAACTCTGAGAGAATACTTCTATACACATAAACCAGAAAATCTAGAAGAAATGGATAAATTCCTGGACACATAAACCCTTCGAAGACTGAACCAGGAAGAAATTGAATCGCTGAATAGACTAATAATGAATTCTGAAATAGAGGCAGTAGTAAATAGCTTACCAACCAAAAAAAACCCAGGACCAGATGGATTGACAGCTGAATTCCAACATGGTACAAAGAAGAGCTGGCCAAGGCCAATAGTTTCTTCTGAAACTATTCCAAACAATGGAAAAGGATGGACTTCTCCCTAACTTATTTTATGAGGCCAGCATCATTCTGATACCAAAACCTGGCAGAGATACAACAGAAAAAGAAAACTTCAGGCCAATATCCCTGATGAACATCGATGCAAAAATCCTCAATGAAATACTGGCAAATCCAGCAGCATATCAAAAAGTTTATCCAACACGATTAAGTTGGCTTCATATCCAGGATGCAAGGCTGGTTCAACATACATGAATCAATAAATGTAATTCATCACATAAACAGAACTAAAGACAAAAACCACATGATTATCTCAATAGACACAGAAAAGGCCTTCGATAAAATTCAACCTCCCTTCATATTAAAAACTCTCAATAAACTAGGTATTGAAGGGACATATCTCAAAATAATAACAGCCATTTATGACAAACCCATAGCCAATATTATACTGAATGGGCAAAAGCTGGAAGCATTCCCCTTGAAAACTGGCACAAAACAAGGATGCTCTCTCTCACCACTCTTATTCAACATAGTATTGGAAGTTCTGGCCAGGACAATAAGGCAAGAGAAAGAAATAAAGGATATTCAATTAGGGAGAGAGGAAGTCAAATTATCCTTGTTTGCAGATGACATCATCTTGTATCCAGAAAATCCCAGTGTCTCAGCCCAAAAGCTTCTTAAGCTGTTAAGCAACTTCAGCAAAGTCTCAGGATACAAAATCAATGTGCAAACATTGCTAACATTCCTATACGCCAACACAGGCAACAGAGAGCCAAATCATGAATGAACTCCCATTCCTAATTGCTAGAAAGAGAATAAAATACCTAGGAATACAGCTAACAGGGAAGTGAAGGACCTGTTCAAGAACTACAAACCACTGATCAAAGAAATCAGAGACAACACAAACAAATGGAAAAAAATTCCATGCTCATGGATAGGAAGACTCGATATCATGATAATGGCCATACTGCCCAAAGTAATTTATAGATTCAATGCCATTCCCATTAAACTACCACTGACATTCTTCACAGTATTAGAAGAAACTTTAAAAAAGTTCATGTGGAACCAAAAAAGAGCCCAAATAGCCAAGACAATCCTATGGAAAAATAACAAAGCTGGAGGCATCACACTACCTGACTTCAAACTATACTACAAGACTGCAATAACCAAAACAGCATAGTACTCGTACAAGAACAGATACATAGACCAATGGAACAGAATAGAGAACTCAGAAAACTTCAGAAATAAAACTGTACACCTACAACCATCTGATCTTAAACAAACCTGACAAAAAGAAGCAATGGGGAAAGGATTCCCTATTTAATAAATGGTGCTGGGAGAAGTGGCTAGCCATATGCAGGAAATTGAAACTGGACTCCTTCCTTACAACTTATACAAAATTAACCCCAGATAGATTAAAGATTTAAATGGGCTGGGCACGGTGGCTCACACCTGTAATTCCAGCACTTTGGGAGGCCGAGGCGGGGAGATCACAAGGTCAGGAGATCGAGACCATCCTGGCTAACACCGTGAAACCCCGTCTCTACTAATAATACAAAAAAATTAGCCAGGTGTGGTGGCAGGCACCTGTAGTCCCAGCTACTTGGGAGGCTGAGGCAGGAGAATGGCATGAACCTGGAAGGCGGACCTTGCAGTGAGCCAAGATCGTGCCACTGCACTCCAGCATGGGCGAGACTCATTCTCACAGAAAAAAAAAAAAAAAAAGACTTAAATGTAAACCCCCAAACTATAATCACCCCGGGAGAAAATCTAGACAATACCATTCAGCACATAGGCATGGGTAAATATTTCATGATGAAAACCCCAAAAGCAATTGCAACAAAAGCAAAAATTGACAAATGAGATCTAATTAAACTAAATAGCTTCTGCACAGCAAAAGAAACCACCAGAGTAAACAGACAACCTACAGAATGGGAGAAATTTTTTTCAATGTATCCGTCTGACAGAAGTCTAATATCTGGAATCTACAAGGAACTTAAACAAATTTATGAGAAGAAAACAAACAATCCCATTAAAAAGTGGGCAAAGTACATACATGAACAAACACTTCAAAAGAAGACATTCATGTGGCCAAAAACATATGAACAAAGCTCAACATCACTGACGATTAGAGAAATGCAAATCAAAACCATAGTGAAATACCATCTCACACTAGTCAAAATGGCTGTTATTAAAAAGTCAAAAGATAACAGATGTTGGTGAGGTTTTGCAGAAAAGGGAGCACTTATACACTGTTGGTGGTAGTGTAAATCAGTTCAACCATTGTGGAAGACAGTGTGGTGATTCCTCAAAGCTGCTGTGGCAGAGATACCATTAATCCCAGCAATACCATTACTGGGTGTATACCCAAAGGAATATAAATAATTTTGTTATAAGATACACACACACGTATGTTCATTGCAGCACTATTCACAATAGCAAAGACATGGAATCAACCTAAATGACCATCAGTGATACACTGGATAAAGAAAATGTGGTACATATACACCATGAAATACTATGCAGCCATAAAAAGGAAGGAGATCATGTCCTTTGCAGGGACATGGATGGAGCTGAAGCCATTATCCTCAGCAAATTAATGCAGGAACAGAAAACCAAACACCGCATGTTCTCACTTATAAGCGGGAGCTGAACGATGAGAACACATGGACAAATGAGGGGGAACAACACACACTGGGGCCCATCAGGAGTGGGGCTAGGGGGAGGGGGAGCATCATGAAGAGTAGTAATCGATGCTGGGCTTAATACTTAGGTGATGGGTTGATCTTTGCAGCAAACCATCATGGCACACATTTAGCTATGTAACAAACCTACACATCCTGAACATCTATCCCGGAACTTAAAAGTTGAAGAGAAAAAAAGAATAATATTTTCAAAGACCCAGAATCATGAAAGAGTATGGCGTATTATGGATTAGAAAGATAATTCTATGCAGATGATGTTACAGTAGGATATGAGAAGAGGGGAGTGGGAAATGAAGCAGGGGAAGAAAGCAAGTATGGATTACCTTTGCAGGCTATACTTACTAAATTAGAGAGTGTTACAGATTTTACTAACAGAGTTACTTTTTTTTTTTTTTTTTTTTTTTTGAGACAGAGTCTTGCTCTGTCGCCCACGCTGGAGTGCAGTGGCACGATCTCGATCTCAGCTCACTGAAACCTCCGCCTCCCAGGTTCAAGCGATTCTCGTGCTTCAACATCCTAAGTAGCTGGGATTACAGGCATGCACCACCACGCCCAGCTAATTTTTGTATTTTTAGTAGAGACAGGGTTTCACCATGTTGGCCAGGCTGATCTTGAACTCCTGACCTCAAGCAATCCACCCTCCTCAGCCTCCCAAAGTGCTGGGATTACAGGCATGAGCCACCATGCCCAGCTGACTGAGTTATTTTTTGATGACAGCTAATTATTCTGTTGACTAATAGGGGATTGATATGAATATACTCTTTCCATTGATGGCAAAATTATGCCAGTGCTAGGGTAGGGGCAGCTGAATCCAGCAGGGACAAAACCAAATAAGGTACAGAGCTGGTCACAGTTTCTACTACATAGATTTGCATGTGATGTACATCTGTGAATGTTCTTAACTTACTGGGGGGTTTGGAGTGTGTGTGTGTGTGTGTGAGAGAGAGAGAGAGAGAAAGAGAGAGAGAGAGGCTATTTGGTTCTGTAATTGATATAAAGAAAGGTGGGCTGGGGTGGAGTATAAATCTTGGAACTCACTCTGGTATTTGAAATTCTTAACTACCTCTCTGCTCACTATTACATGGACAGTGTTGTCCTTCATGTTCTTGTGAGAAGTGAGTAATAGGTATAACATGTGAAGGTTTCTTTCACGCTTTCCTCTTGTAGTAAATGAGTATTTTAGTTCAAGAGAAAAAGGGATGCATAGAGGAACAGGTGTAATAAATAAAATCCTTAAGAAAAAGTCCTTAGTTTTTCTCAAAGGTTTAATTTTTTTTTCTCAAAATTAGTCAGCATGGCAGACTGGTCATGGGCTTTAGTAGGCAGCTTTAAGTATTCCTGTTCATTTCATTGTCCCACAGTCATAAGGTGACAAGAGGGCCCTCAGTTACAGAGTAGAGGTGGAAAGAGTCATCTTAATTATTTGGGGAAAGGATGGTCAATATCATGTGTAACAGGCTGCAAATAAAGACCTAGAAAAGCATTTGAGGTCTTGTTCCCATCCTTGACGGTCTCAGTGTTACTTCTGACAGGACGACCAGAGTGTAGAGTCTGGGGCATTCTCTAACTCAATTAAAAGTAGAAAACTTAGTATAAGATGTGTATGTGGGCAGAATTAATAGTAAGAATTGGCAGGGCTGGGCGCGGTGGCTCACGCCTGTAATCCCAGCACTTTGGGAGGCCGGGGCCAGCGGATCATGAGGTCAGGAAATCGAGACCATCCTGGCTAACACGGTGAAACCCCGTCTTTACTAAAAATACAAAAAATTAGCCAGGCGTGGTGGCGGGCGCCTGTAATCCCAGCTACTCCGGAGGCTGAGAAAGGAGAATGGCGTGAACCCGGGAGGTGGAGCTTGCAGTGAGCTGAGATCGTGCCACTGCACTCCAGCCTGGGCGACAGAGCGAGACTCGGTCTCAAAAAAAAAAAAAAAAAAAAAAAAAAAAAAGAACTGGCAGGACCTTGTCCGCCCTTCCCTTCCTTCCACTGTAATCTGATCTGTAGTATCTTTTCTATTGTTTTCCAGTACAAATCTAAATTCTTTGTATCTTATAGTATCTTAATATTCTGGACTTTGGGTGCCTTTATAAGAGGTTAAATTTTAATTTTCTCATAACTCAGTACAGTAAATATCCCAACTAGTGTAAATATCTTTAGCTTTGTGTTGAAATTTTATTTTTTAATTCCATGCCCAATATTATCTTGTAGCAGGTGCAGATTCTGTGCTTTCTGAATTCTTTGTGAACATAAATCCCAGTGGAGATATGTTTCATTCCCTGCATACCATTGTTCTGATAATGATGCTTATAAAACAGAGAGAGATACTTTCTAGCCTCCATGGCTAAGTATACATTTCAAGAAAGCCCAGTGTTCATCAAGAAAATGTGGAACTGCCTACAGGTTTTTGTGGATATATGTGTATGGTTTTGGTTAAGTTTGCTGGAGGTAAAAGCTGCCTTATTTATTGTAATCCACTGGCGTCAGTACAGTTCATAGAAAGGGTATCACACCGTGAAATTGTTATATGCCCCTTTCTGTGCTCCTGGGATCATTTAGTTGTTAAAACATAATTTAAAATGATAATTGCTGGAAATGGGCATGATCAGGGAAGTATTCCAGAGCAGCCTTGCAAATAAATACATAATATTTATAAGCACACTTTGAAAAACCTATTTTCTAGACTCCATTTAAGAAATATCTAGGTGAGGGAAAACGGATAAAATGAAATCAGTATTTTCTACTATTCATTTAGTCTGTGTCAAAATTTTCCAGAAGCAAGCGATTGTTTGCCAGTAACAGAATGGTGCCTTAATGCTTCTCTTTCTCTCTCACTTCATTCCTCCCTTCCATTCGCCTGCCCTCTCTCCCTCCCTTCCTCCCTCCCTCCCTTTCTTCCTTTCTTCCTTCCTTCTGTCCTCCCTTCCTCCCTCCCTCTCCCCCTCCCTCCCTTTCTCTCTCCTTCTTTCCCTCTCTCCCTCTCTCCTTCCCTTCCTCTTTTTGTTAGTGCAAATTGTGATGTGATTGTGGAATCTCTGAGGACAATGAATGTCATGTTAATAAGTTCATCTTTAATATACGATGCAAACTGCTGCACAGTGAGAAATTCTGTCTATATAACTCACTCTGGAAGGTTTAGAAAGTTGCATACCCATCCTAAAATAAATCTAGGCATAGTAAGTTCCTGCCAGTTATTCATGAGAAGCACGTTGGGATTGTTAGACTTATCTCTGAAGAATAGATGGGTGCTTCTCATCCCTATCTTGACTGATCTTGCTCCAGAGCTAGCGTCTCACATTTCCAATTGCTGCTAGACAGTTTCTTGTGAATGACCTTTTGTTGCCTAAAATTCTGCATGGGTAAAGCTAAATGTTAAACATGGTTTCCTTGCTTACCTTAATCTACTAATGTGTCTATTTTTTGTTTTCTTCACTCAGTCAGTTGCCAAAATCCATCAATGTTTTCCTTTCCCCATTTCCTGCGGTCCTTCTCATCTCCACTTCCCTCTTTCCTACTGCCCTTTTATCCATTTGTGCCTTTATTTGCCCATTGTACATTAAGTGTGTTCTCTATGTAGATCTTTGGGTGTACAGATATCCATAAGGCAGCCACACAGTTCTCTCTTTGTCTTGCTTTTTTACTGATAGAACAATTTAAGAGTCTTCTAACTAAATCTTTGTTTTTAATATCCTTTATCTTTTTATTATTCTCTTCCTACCAACCTTCCATTCTACACAATTGTTGCCAAATTAGTTGATGGAAGGTTTTTCTATCAAATTTCCTTTGAATAGGTCACTCTTCAGTTTTTTTAAAAAAATGCTTACTTGGTCTTTATTTTCCACAGGAAAATAGAAGTGGTGTAGGGGCATGGGAAGTACTTCTTTCCTCCCCATCCTCAAGCCAAGCATTCAAGACTGTCCTCAAGATGAGCCCCACCTGTCTTTTCAGTATGCATCATTCATCTTAAGTTTCTTCATAAGCTTTTCACCCCAGTGGCACTGATGTGTTCACTACCTTCTGAGTAAGCCAGGTGTCTTTCCAGTGCTATGCTGGCACATTCCTTTCCCCCAAAATCACCCCTCACTTATGACTTTGCCAGTACAAACTTCTTTCCTTCAAAATACAGGTCAATCATAAAGCTTCTCTCAATCCTCTAGGCCAGGAATTGACTTTTTTTTTTTTTTCCTGTGAAGGGCCAGACAACAAATATTCTAGGCTTTCTGAGCCATACAGTAATTGTGGTAATCATTCAACTCTGTTGTAGCATGAAAGCAGACATAGATAATATACAAAGGAATGGGTGTAGCTGTGTTCCAATAAAACTTCATTTGTACCAACCTGGTCAGCATAGGCAGATCCTGTCCATACAACAAAATAAAAAATTTAGCTGGGCATGTGCTTGTAGTCCCAGCTACTCAAGAGGCTGAGATGGGAGGATTACTTGAGCCCAGGAGTTACAGGCTGCAGTGAAGTAGGCCCACACCACTGTATTCTAGCCTGTGTGACAGAAAGAGACCATGTCTCTTAAAACAAACAAATAAACAACAACAACAAACCCTTTACTTGCTGACATTGAACATTCAGTTTTAAATATTTTTCATGTGTCATGATATACTATTCTCCTGTTTAGTTTTGTTCAATCAGTTTTGTTTAACAATTTAAAAATGTTAAAAACTAGTCTCAGCTCATGGGCCATCTAAAAACAGGTGACAGGTAGATTTGGCCTGTGGGCTGTAGTTTGCAGACTACTGATTGAGGCAGAAGTTTCCCTCATAATTCCTGATAGGAAGTCCCTTGAACTATGCACTTGGTGTGCAGGATACTTTTTATATACTGACCTGCACTGCATTTTAATTGTGTGTTTATTAACTTTACTCAGATCAGATGTCAAGAAAGCTGGAGTTTATCTCATAGTTCTTCCTATTTCCTCAGCACTTACCACAGTATCTTTTGGATAACTAGGGCTCAATGAAAATAAAATGATATGAGTGATTCAAGCAAGCTCTGTTAGAATAGTCATCTATGAATCTTTCTGCCCTTATGTTTAGGTCAAAAGTAAATTAGAAATAACATTTTCTACAGATAATTCATTGTGGAATTATTATCTCTTTCTTTCCACATGCTCATGTGTGAATTTAAAATATACTTCATTGTAAATTAAAGGGATAAAATATGACATAAGCTTATTTTTCTTTATAATCAGCATTTCATTAATATGGAAGTGTTTGCTTTCTTTGCAAATAAAATACATTTGGAAATCACAACAAAATTAGGATAGCAGCAATGGGAGCTTCTAAAATGTGTTTCTAGAAACAGAACAGTAAAGTATCTTCCTTTAAGATCTCTTTGGCTGCCTGGAAACAAGCATTACTCAGTGTTCTCATGGACCTAGATGCACTGCAGTTATGGCCAGTGCTGACACAGTCCAGTGTCTAAAATCTGCCTTGGCTTGTTTCAACTGTTGGCAATAGTTTCAACCTTAAGTTTAAGTAACAGTTGAAGAAAAAGTTGTACATTTGATTAACTAGAACAGTAGATATTTCCAGGTATAAAAACATTCCACAAAGGAAGAAAATCCAGGCATTTCCCCCTACCACTAGCTTTATAACCCTCAATCTCAAAAAAGTGCTACAGACACCCTTTTGAGCAGATGAGGGCTACGATGAGCTCTGGAATTCTTTTGATTTTTATGTTTGTCGTTAGTTTTTCAGGCCAGCTGGCTAAGCAGGGACTATTTCTAGCCTAAAGGAAGCTCTAAGGAAGACCTTGTGATTTAGTTGCTAAGTAAGTATTTCTGCAGATGCTGTTATCTTTAGGTAATGATGCCCTACTTTGCAAATAAAATGATGCATTTATTTTGGAGTATTGGTTGGGTTTCTGAAATGTTGAGCTTTCTAATATGGGATTCTGCTATTAACTACTGGTGTGCCTTAAGACACTGACCCCTATTTGTAGTGAAGTATTGGTTTGGAAGGTGTGCAAATTTCTCTCTGGCTTTGACTCCATTTGTGTCTGAATGCCTACTAGGATTAAAAAATATCCTGGTTTCTCAGCCAGAATGGAGAGTAGATTTTCTGGCCTAGTTTGTGTAAAATGGAATTCCCAACTGCTGTGAGGTGCAGACACAGCAGCCTTTTCATATGTGACAGAAAGCTGCACACTGTTATGTGGGTAACTTGGTTCCTTGTCATATGTACTACCCGACTCCTGAGACGTCTCTGCTTGTGAAAGAACATAATAAACTCCCTGGTTTGTCACCAGTGGTTGTAATACTTTAAATATCTCAGATTATTTTGGGTTAAGCAGGATTGAAAAATATTATTATATTTTTTGCCTGTGGGAGCAAATCATGAAAGATTTATTTTTAATTGCTCACTTGCCTTCTGCCAAAACTCAGTTTCTTGTCCTTGTTCTTCTCCTTCTTCTTTTCTTTTGAAATCCTATTTTCCACCTTATATTAAAGTTGAGTAGTTTGTAGATTGAGTTATTTAATCCAGATAAGTAGGACTTCCTTGGCTCTCTTGATTGCTCTGACCTCATTTGTGCAGCAGAACCGACCGCCCTGGCCTTCTGGAACATGCTGTGGGGAAATGAGCATGATTTGAAAGTCAGACTTATTTTCTTTTCTTTTCTTTTTTTTTTTTTTTTTTGAGATGGAGTCCAGACTTATTATCAAATACCACTTCTGCTGTTGGCTCGCTCTAGTAATCTGGGAAAATCATTTCACCTTCTCAAATCTTAGTTTCCTAATCTATTTTAAGAAAATATTTAATAATGTATGCAAATAATCTAACACACTAATTCATAGTAGGAATACAATAAATATTACTTTCTATCATCAGTTCCTCACTCAGGTCTTTTTGTTATTATTTGTTGTTATTACAGCTTGGCAACTGGGTAACTTGATTTTCATGACTGTAATAATATATTAATAGCAAGATATACTCTTAAGAATTTCAGAATTCTTACTGGATGCTACCCAGTAAGATGCTACCCACCTGCCCACACGCATGCTAACAAAATGTGAAACAAATAGCTACTTTTATGCACTGTTTCTTACAAAGGGAGAGTTGGAACTAAGAAATTGTCACATTTGGGGCTACAGAGAGGAAATGAAGGAGGTGGGAGGAGGACCTGAAATTCTTGCTTTTCACAGTGCTATGATAAGCATTATTAGATCCTGTTCTTTGCTCTGAATGTCTTATTGCTTTTTGTAATACATATTTTATCAAAAGTGCCCAGAGAGATGGTTTAACATTTCATTTTGTTAAGAAAAATAAAACCCAGAAAATTATAGGCTCTTAGATTTTGGAGCACAGTATGTTGTGTTCCAACGTAGAAATTAAAACAACCACCACCAAAAAACCCCAGTTAAATAAACAGGCCCCCAAATTGATTAAAACATAAAACCTGACATTAGATCTTTTCAGTCTGAAATTCTACAGAGAAGTTTCATTTAATATGCTGTTTTTGCACCATACAGAACACATTCCCTGACTACTGGTAATTTTCAGTCCTTTACAAATTTTGATTTTGTTTATGAAAGTCTCAGTTTTTTAAAGTCTGGGTGTGAACCCATCTAAACAATAACAAAAGCTTCTTTAATTGGCTTTTCATTTCCATTTCTTTTCTTTTTTGTTTTTAGAGACAGAGTCTTGCTTTGTCATCCTGGCTGGAGTGCAGTGACTACATCATAGTTCACTGTAACTTTCAACTTCTGCACTCAAGTGCCTCTTCCACCTCACCCTCCCAAATAGCTGAGATTGCTAGCGTGCACCTCCATGCCTGGCTAATTTTTAAACTTCTTTTTGTAGAGATAGAGTCTCTTGCTGTTGCCAGGCTGGTCTGGAACTGCTGGGATCAAGTGATCCTCCTGCCCTGGCTTTCCAAAATGCTGGGATTACAGGTATGAACCACAGCACCCAGCCCAGATTCTCATTTCTGAATCAAATAATCCAATTTCACTTACAAGCAAATGTGAAATATACAATGAACTTGACAAGTTTTTTTGATAAACATTGTTGAATTGTAATGAAATATCTTCACGATTTGTTTTATGCCATTCCTAGGTCTTTCTTGTGAATAAATATACCATATTAGTCAGTATTGAGAAGGCATTCATTCATTAGCTGGGAATAGTAATTGAATGTAGGTGCTTTAATTTTAGAAAATCGTTTTGCTAAAATTTTCTTAACTTTTATAACCTCCTTCATATTACATTTATTCTTAATTTTTTTATTATACTTTAAGTTTTAGAGTACATGTGGACAACGTGCAGGTTAGTTACATATGTATACATGTGCCATGTTGGTGTGCTGCACCCATTAACTCGTCATTTAACATTAGGTATATCTCCTAATGCTATCCCTCCTCCCTCCCCTCTCCCCTCCTAAACTTTAATGGTGTAGTAATGAAAATGCCTTTAGAGACCATTAACCCACCCATATCTCTTATGGACTGAATTGTGCGCCCCCTCCCCTCATCCAAATTCATATGTTGAAACCCCCCAATAGCTCAGAATGTGACCATTTTAGAGATAGGGTCTCTAGAAACTAATTAAGGTAGAACCCATTAGGGTGGGTGCTAACTCAACATGACTGGTCTCTTTATAAGAGATTAGGACACAGATAGGCACAGCGGGAACACCATGTGAGGACATAGTGAGAAGACAGACATCTACAAAACAAGGAGAGTGGCCTCAGAGGAAATGAAGCCTGCTGATACCTTGATCTCAGACATCTAGCTTCCAGAATTTTGAGAAAATAAATTTTAATTGTTTAAGCCACCCAGTCTATGGTGCTTTATTATGGCAGCCCTAGCAAACTAATACAATATCTTAAATGTGGTCATAGTGTTGTCTGATAGACTAAAGCTTTCCCATGTGGGTCCTTCCTTTTGCCAAAATTTCCTTTATTCATTTTTAAATGCCACGAAAGTGTGACTGGCAAACTTTCTGTGCATAAAGACAGTCATGAACTGCATAATCATAATGAGATTTCTTTAACTTTTATTTTAGGTTCAGGAGTACATGTGCAAGTTTGTTATATAGGTAAACTCATGTTGCAGGAGTTTGTGGTACAGATTATTTCATTACCCAGGTGATAACCCTAGTACCTAATAGTTATTTTTTCCAATTCTCTCCCTCCTCCCACCCTCCAACCTCAAGTAGGCCCCAGTGTCTGTTATTCCCCTCTACATGTCCATGTGTTCTCATCATTTATCTCCCACTTATAAGTGAGAACATGCAGTACTTGGTTTTCTGTTCCTGTATTAGTTCATTAAGGATGATGGCCTCCAGGTCCAACCATGTTCTTGCAAAGGACATGATCTTTTTCTTTTTTATGGCTGTATAGTATTCTAAGGTGAATATGTACCATATTTTCTTTATCTAGTCTACTGTTGATGGGCATTTAGGTTGACTCCATGTCTTTGCTATTGTGAATAGTGCTACAATGAACATACATGTGCATGTGTCTTTATGGTAGAATGATTTACATTCCTTTGGGTATATACCCAGTAATAGGATTGCTGAGTCGAATGTTATTTCTGTTTTTAGCTCTTTGAGGAATTGCCACACTGCTTTTCACAATGGTTGAACTAAAAGTGTTCCCTTTTCTCCAAAACCTTGCCAACACCTGTTATCTTTTGACTTTTTAATAACAGCCATTCTAACTGGTGTGAGATTGTATCTCATTGTGGTTTTGATTTGCATTTCTCTAATGATCAGTGATATCAAGCTTTTTGTCATATGCTTGCTGGTCACATGTATTTCTTCTTTTGAGAAGTGCCTGTTCATGTCCTTTGCCCACTAATTAATGGGATTGTTTGTTTTTTTTCTTGTAAATTTGTTTAAATTCCTTATAGATTCTGGATATTAGACCTTTGTCAGATGCATAGTTTGCAAATATTTTCTCCTATTCTGCAGGTTGTCTGTTTACTCTGTTGATAGTTTCTTTTGCTGTGCAGAAGCTCTTAAGTTTAATTAGGTCCCATTTGTCAATTTTTGCTTTTTTGCAATTACTTTTGGCATCTTTGTCATGAAATCTTTGCCGGTTCCTATGTCTAGAATGGTATCACCTAGGCTATTTCCTGGGTTTTTATAGTTTTAGGTTTTAAATGTAAGTCTTTTATTCATCTTGACTTGAGTTTTGTTTATAGTATAAGGAAGGGGTCTAATTTCAACCTTCTGCATATGGCTAGCCAGTTCTCCCAGTACCATTTATTGAATAGGGAGTCCTTTCCCCATTGCTTGTTTTTGTCAGCTTTGTGCATAATGACATTTCTCTCGACTGCATATGTGACAGTGGTCGCATAAGATGATAATGGAACTGAACAATTCCTGTTGCCTAGTGATGTCTCGATGATTCTGACCCTATGTAGGCCTCGGATAATGTGTTTGTGACTTCATTTTTAACAAAAAAGTTTAAAAAGTAATAAAAAAGAATTTTTTTTAATAGATAAAAACCTGTAGAATAATGGCTCACCCCTGTAATCTCAGCACTTTGAAAGGCCGAGACAGGAGGATTGCTTGAGCCCAGAACTTCGCAACCAGTGTGGTCAACATGACAAGACCCTGTCTCTACAAAAACAAAACAAAACAAAACCAAAGAAAGAAAGAAAATGTTTTTGTACAGCTGCACAATGTGTTTGTGTTTTGAGCTAGGTGTTATAAAAGTGCCAAAAAGTTAAAAAATTAAAAAGTTTATAAAGTAAAATGTTACAGTCAACTAAGATTAATTTATTATTGAGGTACAAATTTTAAAAGATAAATGTAGTATAACCTAGGTACACAGAGTTAATAGTCTATAATAGTGTCCAATAATGTCCTAGGCCATTCACTCACCACTCACTCACAGACTCACCCAGAGCAACTTCCAGTACTGCAAGTTTCATTCATGGTAAGTGCCCTATATAGGTGTATCTTTTTTTTTTTTTTATCTTTTATACTGTGTTTTTACTCTACATTTTTTTTGTTTAGATATGTTTAGATACATAAATACCATTGTGTTACAACTGCCTACAGTATTTAGTACAGTAACATGCTGTACAGGTTTATAGCCTAGGAACAATAGGCTATACCACAGAGCCTAGGTATGTAGTAGGCTATACTATCTAGGTTTGTGTAAATGTACTCTCTGATGTTCACACATGATGAAATTGCCTAATGACTCATTTCTCAGGACATATTCCTATTGTTGAGTGATGCTTAACTATATATTAAAGTATCTTTTAATGACAAATATTCTATAATTTAGACTTGGGACAAATCAAATAGACTTTTCCTCCCAATTGTAATAAATAAATGAGATCTTACTGAATAACCCACCACTGAGATAATTTTTACAAAATCAGTTCTAGGAGTACATTCTCCATATTCAATCATTTCCTAAGTCTTATTGTTTTTACTACCTTTCTTAAAATATGGTATTTTACTACCTTATTTTCCCTTCTAGCTTTCACTACCCTAATTTATACACTAATGTTTCTCCTGAGCTCATGTAATAACTTCACAAGTGTTTTTATGCATAGACTCTTTCTACCTCAAACTATTTATTACATAGATGTCAGAGTTATAATTATGACACAAAAATCTTTTCCTGGCAAGTGTATTCAATAGTTTCCCATTATCTACAAAATACAATCGAAACTGCTTTCTAACACATCAGCATACAATGCATGATGTAGCCCCCTCAGACCTGTTCTACATTATGTCTCTCCCCAGTGTTCCAAGCTCAGCCCTGTTTTACTCCCTCACATGGAATTAACTCTGTCTCCCAGAATGTATTGGACTTATGTCTTTGCATGTGTTGTTCTCATTATCTGTAATGCTTTCTCCAATATTCTCTGACAAAGCTTTCATTTTAAAAGTTGTAGCTCAAATAATACCTTATCTCTTGGTGAGTTAATTAAATGTGCCTTCTGTGCTCCCATGACATACACTTCACAGCCCCAGGTATGTCTCCTCACCAAATCAATGCCTTTCCATATTTGACTACTCATTGCCTAGTGTCATGCCTTCATGGCGGAGGGACTCAATAGCTTTTAAGTGAACCCAGAGAATGAAGTGGGTTATGTTCTCATAGAACTACTGAAGAACTACTGAAAAGGCTCTATATCCACCACATAGTCTTTATGGAAATGACTAGAAAAGAGGATCATGCCATTAGGGTCAGTTTTCTCCACAGAAATAATGCTCTAATTGGGGGGCCCTTGTATAGAGAAAGGTAAATCATAGCTTCGACCACATGGGAAAAGCAAAGATATAACAATTATATAACAATCATGTTTATAACAATTATAAACTTTAATTACTAAACTACAACCTTATGTTTTAAGTTCTATAAGATAGGATATACATGTTCTAGATATATTTATCATTGTTCTAGATATATTTATCATTTAATATTGCATAAAATTGGACATTAATTAATTTTGCTTAATCTTCTAAAATGGATTTAAGGCTGCTTGGAAAACACATAGCAGCAGGACCTTTACAATAAAAATTCGACAATTCTGTACTTAAAATTGAAGTAATATTAGGCATTAAAAAACATTTAATATGTCATTTTTGTTTCCTTAGGATAATTTATTTTGGAATTGGTGTGAAGTAGACTTAGACTTTTCTGAAAAGTGTCTGAATTTGCATGCACAGTTGGAGGGACATGGATTAGAAAACATACTTGAAAGCAATTTAGCTTCACGTTTTAAGATTCTTCAAATTGTTCATAATGTATGACCTAGTATTTACAATTCTGGGAGCTGCTCTTAAAAAATAAATCAGACATATTAAAAAAGCTTCATTAACAAACATATTTATCACAACACCGAAATTCAAAAGATAAAAAATCATCAATAAAATGTTAGTTAAGAAAACACGGTTTACCTGTTCAATGTAATATTTTCCTGCCATTAAAAATTTACAATAACAAGGCAGAACATTGGTCTTATAATAGTAGAAAAAGGCGGGATGCAAAACAATGCTTACAATGAAATCTCAGTTATGGTATCAAAATATGGTGAGGAAAACTAGAAGAAAATTTTTCAAAATATGAATGGTGACTGTTGCTGAAATGTAAATTTTTTAAACATTTGTTTACTGTTTTCTAGTTTATACCTACTACTATTTTTAAAAATAATTTCAACTTTTATTTTCAATTCAGGGGGTACATGTGCAGGTTTGTTACCTGGGTGTGATGCTGAGGTTTAGGGTATGATGATCCCATCACACAACTACTGAGAATAGTACCCAATAGTTAATTTTACAATCCTTGCTTCCCTTCCTCCCTCCCGAGTCTAGTATCCCCAGTGTTTATTATTTTCCTCTTTATGTACATGAGTACTCAATGTTTAGCTTTCACTTATAAGTGAGAACATGCGATATTTGTTTTTTGGTTCCTGTGTTAATTTGCTTAGGATGATGGCCTCCAGCTGCATGCATTTTGCTTCAAAGGATGTGATTTCATTCTTTTTTATGGCTAGGTAGTATCCCATGATACATATGTACCACATTTTCTTTATCCAATCCACTGTTGATGGGAATCTAGGTTGATTCCATGTCTTTGTTATTGTGAACAGTGCTGCGATGACCCTATGAGTGAATGTGTCTTTTTGGTAGACGATTTTTCTTTTGGATATATACCCAGTAATGGGATTGCTGGGTCAAATGGTAGCTATGTTTTAAGTTCTTTGAGAAATCTCCAAACTGCTTTCCATAGTGGCTGAACTAATTTACATTCCCACCAACAGTGCATAAGCATTCCCTTTTTTTCTGCAGCTTTGCCAGCATCTGTTTATATTATTTTTATAATTGGAAATTTATTAACTTTGAAAATTATGCCATTGATTTTAGCATTTTCTCAGAGTTCTAGAGGCATGAGTCATTATTTTTGCTGACAGAAATTTCTCCTATCTAAAAATGATTTTTAGAAACAAGGTCTCACTATTTCCCATTTTCTCTGTTTATTCCAAGTTATAGCAGCGTTTGCTTGTGTTGATAGCTATTGATTTTGTGGAGGGTACTTCATTTCATGAACAACACTAGCCATTATTCTAAATAATACTAAGCCATTAAGAAGGACTTTCAGGCCAGGCGTGGTGGCTCACACCTGTAATCCCAGCACTTCGGGAGGCCGAGGCGGGTGGATCACGAGGCCAAGAGATCGAGACCATCCTGGCCAACCTACATGGTGAAACCCCATCTCTACTAAAAATATAAAAAAAAATCAGCTAGGCATAGTGGCGCACGCCTGTAGTCCCAGCTACTTGGGAGGCTGAGGCAGGAGAATCGCTTGAACCTGAGAGGCGGAGGTTGCAGTGAGCCGAGATCACACCACTGCACTCCAGCCCTGGCGACAGAGCAAGACTGTCACAAACAAACAAACAAACGAACAAAAAAGAACTTTTAAAGTAAAAACATCTTAGCGACTTGCTAAAATGGTACTGGGAGAAAGGAAAGTTGGATATGGCCTACAGTGTGTATTTCCTGCATGAGGCTCTCTTCTGATTCTGTTAATAAAAATTTAAAGGTCATATGTCTACCCTATATAGCAATAATAGAGAGTCTTCCCTTAGTAGATTAGTGACCATATATGCCTGCTCTCAGTTCTTACTTATTTCTTATATTTACTCTACTGTTCAATCCTGGCTTCCCTTTGGATGGTTTTTATTTGTGAGGCAAAAACATGTTCTTATGTTACTCCTTGCTCTTGTTTTCATATTTAGTCTCAAATGGCATAGTCTTTATTTCATTCCTGACTATTTAGCCATGTCCTCTGGGAATAAATTGATATTTGCTCTTCCAGCAGTCCCACCAAAGTGTTTTGAGTAAATGACTTACTAAAAATATTCCATTCTTTTCTGAATCATTTTGAATGATCATTTCTAAAGGAAGTGCCTTCCTTTAATCTGGAACTACTGAATCACAGACAGATGTTCTCCTGTTTCCAGTCATTTTGAGCACCAAATCTAGGAAGCAAATAAATCGAATTCTTCATTATCTGGGATCCTTTTAGATTTATGAAAAACTTAAGTGCCTATTCTTTCCATTTTCTCCTCCATTTTTACTTTGGCTATTTGCTTTTTCAAAGCTGTTGCAGTATCTTCACACAGCTGAAATAAAGCATGAACTTAAATCTACACAATATGATGGGTTTGTTACTAGTGAATTGAACTGGAGTATTTTCAAATAATCACTTTGGCAAAATGACTACTACTTACAGAGACAAGATTTGGACCTGAAACAAGATGTCCACTAGCCTTTCCTCCTTGGAATGTGCTAGATATCCCATACCTGACAGGCTCAGCACATTCCCTTAGGGTCTTTTTCTTTTGGTACCACTGGCTTGCCAGTGGGTAACATCCTTACAAGTAGAAAGGTTAAAATATGTACTATTTTGGGGAATCTCTGAAAATAAATAACCTGCAAAAGTACAAGCTAAAAGCAAAGTGTTTTTCTCAAAGAAAAAATTACTACATAAGCATTTCCTCAGGTACCAGTGTGATGCATGAACTCACAGATGGAGGAGGTGGCCTTGTCAGGATGCCAAGAATGCAGATACTTGAAGGGAAATTTTAGTGGCGGAAACAGAGACGTTAACTGGCAGATGAGCCATTGGAACATTTCCCAGGTAAAAAGTATTTTGTTTAAAGAAAGGTATTTTTTGCATGAATTATTACCTGAATTTAGAAAAGAGACTTCTTTAATAAGTCTGACTCACAAGAAATATAGCTCATCAATAAAAATATCATTTGAAGATATTCTTAACAATTGGTCAGTGTTAATCAAATATAAGCATATGATTCTTCAAATGCCAGTATAAATATTTGGATGCTGAGCATTTTACAGACTCTCAGGAATGAGCAAGAAGAGCATGAAAAAATGCATTTAAGTTCTTTGTGTATGATCATGGGATGAGTACAGTAGAATACGTAGAAATGTCATAACTTTAGAGGCAAAAAGTCACAGTTTTCTAATCTGTGAAACAAAAGATAATAATCTCTAACTCCAGACTGTTTGTGTATTAAATTGTAATATTATGATATGCTGGAACTGGGATGAAACATTTAAAGGTGGCTAAATATTGGGAAACTGCTTTTTACTTCCTTGGGGAAAGCATGAAGATGAATAAAGGAATTTTTGGATATGAGAAAACAGGGACAGAGTCATATTGGCTACTGTGATGTGATACATTGCTTTGCATTAAGAACAGCCAAAAGAATGTTGCAGAGGTGAAAGAGAAAATAAGAATTAAAATGGTCAAATTGAATGAGTGGGTTGAAGTATTAAAGGTGCTGAGAGAGATGAGAACCAAACATGACTTGATTTAAAAACAATTCTTGCAGCTCAAAGTAATCTTCAGTATATGACTAATTTTGACTGAAGAAAAGCATGAGCAATAATGAACAGAGCTAGTTATAGAAGGCGATGGAGGATGTGGTCTTTTGTATGAGGTAAGTTTGAGGAATGCAAAACACAGCTCCCTGGTTGACAATATTCACTTACTTCTTCTTAAGATCCATATTCCATTCTCATTGCCAGTTACATTTCTCAGTCCCTAGAATAAGCTAAATAAATGTTCTTATGTAAAGAATGAATGAGTATCTTAGGTTGTGTTCCATTGAAAGCAGACCCTAAAATAAGGGTTCAAGTACAAGTAGTTTATTTGGAAGGTAAGCCCAGGAAGCCCCATTAGAAGAGTGAAGTGAGACAAGAAAAAAGGAGAAAGGAATACAGAAAAGGGGACCCTAATGAGTAGTTTACCACTGTGGGCCAATGGGGCTCATTTCTACTGGGGATCTCTGAGCAATGATGTTGAACTCCCATATTTTATTGGGTGAAGGCTGCTGCTGAGGACAGTCAACTGTCTATTACTTCCTTCCTGAGCTCACTCCTATAGGACAGAAAGCCTTTAGGCAGACAGTCCGAGGTGTTTGCAGTGAGAAGCTGTAGACGGTATAAAACCTGCAAGTGCTGAGGGGCCATGAGCAGGGCACTGATAATGTCTGCTATAGTGTGTGAGCGAATTACAGCTTCCTGCCTTTGGATCTGTGGGCCATTTTGTATTCAAATGTCCAAAAATAAAATGTCAATGCCTAAGTAACCACCAAGCTATATTAATAGACATTTTACTTATCATCTTAGTTGACATGTGGTAGAAATCATATCTTACAGGGAAAAGATCCTAGTAGGGGAAAGGCCACTGATGAAGTGTGTGTAGAGAGGGTGGTAAAGAGTGTTAGAAGGTAAATTTGTGACTTAGCAATGTTGCCTAGGACAGGCCCTTTTTATGAAGATTCTGATTGTAGTTATTTTATGTGTTAGGATAAATATTCTTGTGTCTTAGAGAAACTATGAGGCTTATAAAGTAACTCCTTCCCTTCTTCCATTCCTTCCAAAAATATTTCATACAACATTTTATTATTATTGTTATTGTTATTTTGAGACAGGGTCTTGCTCTATTGCCCATGCTGGAGTGCAGTGGTGCAATCATGGCTGACTGCAGCCTCAAACTCCTGGGCTTAAGTGGTCCTCCTGCCTCAGCCTCCTGAATAGTTGGGACAGGTGCACACCACCGTGCCCAACTAATTTTTTAATGTTTTGTAGAGACAGGGTCTCATGTTGCCCAGGCTGGTCTTGAACTTCTGGGCTCAAGTAATCCTACTGCCTCAGCCTCCCAAAGTGTTGGGATTACAGACATGAGTCACGGCACCTGGCTGATACAACATATTAAATAACTGCCCTCATCTTCCAGTAGGATTTGCTCTAAGAATTCGGGTGACAGTGACACAAAATAGCATCTTCCAATTTAGAGAAAATTTCTGTTTGCTCTTTTCTAATCGTGGTACTTAGAAAAGTTTCTATAGTTTTGAACCATCAACCTAATTCTATACTTGTTTGACCTTTAATAGGAGCCTAAGGCAAGTACAGAAGTCAGAGTTTGCCTAATATACTCTCCCAGAGGGATTGTCAAGTATATTTCATTTATTGGATTGTGAATTTTTAGAGTGTCCAGATTCACTCTTTACCACAAAATTTAGAGTGTCCAGATTCACTCTTTACCACAAAAATTCAAGAGTAATTATTTTAAACAGAACTGCATTCCCACAATAAGTGCTGATTTGTATTATTTTCCAGTTCATACTTTGAAGTATTAACAGACTGAAAACTGAGCATTTTATTGTTGCCTGCTTTTTTTTGTCTCCATTTGTCAAAGAAATATATGGAATATATCCTGTTAACCAAGCTCAAATGCTTTAAATTTTATTCACTGGCTATTCAAAAAAACAGAGATTTTAAAAATACTTGAATTGTTTGAATAATTTATTGGAAGGCCACTATACCGCCAACACTGAATAACTTAGTTTAAATAGGTATAGCCTCAGGAAATGTCATTACAAATATTTGTCTGAAAGTCAGTTGCCTAGATTAGTTCAATTTTTTATTTTTCCCTTTAGCTTTGCTTTTAATGTTTGCAAATAAATACAGTATTTATTGTTTGTGAAAATATTATTAAAGTAGAATATTTCTCAGATGATGTTTCCTTTTAACCACTTCATTAACTAAACTCTGAATCAATGTGTAATCACTACATTTTTTTCTTTAGATACTTTTTTTCTTTAGTGTCTGAAGAAAGCAGCTGTGGCTTATTCTCACAGCCAGAACTCAGCCATAATAACATGAAAAAATATTATTCAATGTATCATAATAATGGCTAACACTTCTTTAGGTTTTAATTTTTGCTTTCTTAACATATAACTATTTGATTATTATAAATAATATTTGAGTGTTTGAAAATCATTACTCCCTTAAAAAGAAACTTATAAGATACAGAAACTGTAGAAAATATTTCGGTAGAGGATATGGTTAGAAACCATAAGAAAAAAATCAATTAATGCTAAGACATTGTCAACCATGGCCTTGTTTCAATATATGTTTCTTTCCAAGAAAAATAAATTCCATTATATCACCACATCTGTATGTATGTACAAAATTCAATAAAACAAAACTGGTCATGCTCAGGAAAAAGCACGGTTTAGGGAGACATTGTTACAATAATTACTTTTTTCAAAGTTCAGTAAATTTTTAAGAAGCCATCAAATAAACTTCTATTCTCAAATGAGAAGTTGTCACAACTACTCAGTTTGGATCATACTGAAATCGGGGTTTTTTAATGAACGAGGAAGATACAGACAGTATTTTAAAATTTTCTATCCATTATATTTTACATTTTCTTTTGATAAACAAATGCGTGCCCTGATCAAAAGTCTAAATTATTAAAAAAAAGTGATATAATGAAAATAACTTTTTTTCTCCCTTGATTGCTTGTCTCATAGGTTCCTCCCCGGATATAACTGACATTAATTTCAGATGTGTCTTCCAGAAACATTCTATGCATTCACAGTAAAATAAGCCAAATTTAATGATCCATTATGTATAAAAAACCATTTACCTTTACATATCCTTAGATTAATAAATTATACTTAGTTTGACAACTTACTTTTAAACTTAGTATTTCTTAGACATTTGATAACAATAAATTATAATTCTAATTCACTTTAAAAATTACTACAGAGTATTACATTATTTGGATAAATATATTTAGTGTATTCAGTATGTTATTGTCAGAAATCTAGGCTGTTTCCATGCTTTTCAGTGATGAACATTTTCAGCAGTCAGCATTTAAAACTATTTATCTTTGTACCCAGGTGGATGCATATTTATAGGATAAATTCCTAAATAAAGGTTGCTGTTTTTAATTTTTAAAAATATTAATATTGATAGACATTGAGCAAGGTACACTTCATATAGAGTTTTTATTGAATAATATTTTAGGTTGGAAAAGTAATATAAAGTTTTTGTTCACACTCTCAAAAATTTAGTATCTCTTGCACTAATTTGTCACTTAGGCTATGTGGCTTTACATGTGTTTTTTCAAAATAGATTTAAAAGTTCTTGAAGCTGCTCTATTGTCTTCTGTCTTCATATTTCTCATGTTAAGTAATAAGACATGTCTTGGAGCAAGTGCCATTTAAGACTCCTCTAACTGGTAACTTGAAATTTTTGACATTGCTACTTCATTATCTAGTATAAATGAATAATCTCAGTGTTGCTTTAGTGCCCACTTGTTTCTCATATTAGTAAGTTATTGCAAAACTTAGCATTTGAACAGAATTGGAAAATGAATAATATAGTCAAGTTTTCTGTATCACATATGATATTGCTTTTAAATTCTTATTTTATTAACTCTTATTTTTGAAGAATTGTTTTTTGAATAGCTGTGATTCTTTTTAATTTTTATTTTTTCTTGGATATCTAAATCTTTTAATTTTTCTTCTTTAGGATTTATATACTTCCTTTTTAGGTTATGTTATGATCCTTCTCTCCAACTTAAAAACTTAAAACAATCAAATAAAACAACCATATCTTGTCAGAGTTATGCTGTGATTTGTGTACAAGTAGAAGGCCAGGTGGACAAATGACGGGTACTGTAAAATGAATCCAAAGCTACAAATGCAGCTTTGTTTGCAATGACAAATAGCTCTCTAATGCAACTAATTTAAATATGAAGGCTAGGTTATTGCAATAAGCTAAAAACCATTTAAAATCATTTTTAGGAAAAAAAACCCTCTCCTTGGATGTATGTGGGCTGTATTCTTAGACTTTGAAGATCAGGCTTAGGAGTTAATATTATTTAGTGGTGATTGGGACAGAGTGTCATTTTGTGACACTCCAGGACAAGTAGCCTCAGGGTGTCATGAGATTTCATGCTAGCTTGGTAAAATGAAATAATTCTAAATGACACCTCTGAGCTACTCTGAAAAGTTAGCTTTCTAATGAGAACTTAGCTACTGAAGAAGCACTTGGCTGAGTAACAAATCTCTCTACCTTTGCAAAGAATTTCTTTTTTTTACCCCCTGCTGGCATTTAAACTCAACCATTTACATTTAGGAAATCACCAATATATGTAAAAATGAAAAGGAAGGTAGAGAAGCAGCAGAAAAAGTGTGGTTGAAATAATCATTTAGCTATGATGACCATGCCAAATGTAGGTAATATTTAGAAAAAAAATTTGGATGCCATACACACAGAATTGAGGAAATTAGTTTTTGATATAGATATGTCAGAATTGGTTCTGTGATATAGTGGCAGTTTAAAAGTGTTTTCCCAAGAGAGGACTGTCAGATTCTGCTCTAAAACCAATAGAAAATGACTCAGTCTCAATTATACTTTGTATCCTAATTGCAGAGACCTTTAACATAATGACATAATGAACAATTAACACTCAACAAAGTATCAAAACCAACCACAAAAACTGCTCAAGGACTTTCAGAAAACATTCATTCTTTCAATAAATATTCACTGTAGTCCAAGAGATGTAACGAAGAACAAGACTAATAAGATTCTTACTTTTTCAAAATTACATCCTCATTGGGAGACACAGATGAATGAAGTAAGCACACATATTTATCAACTAATTTCAGATAGTGTTAAGTTCTAAGACGAAAATAAAACAGGGTGATGTGATAGAATGTACCTTGTGTGTGGATGTTGCAGAGAGGGTCAGCTTTAGTCAGGGAAGGCATCCTAGATAAGGAGGTATTTGTGCTAAAACCTGAATGATGAGGACTCCACCACGTCAAGATTTGGAGAAAAGGCATTCCATACAGAGAAACAGCAAGTGCAAAGTCCTTGAGATGGGAAAGAGCATGGTATGTTCAAAAAGAAAAAAGAACACCAGCATGGTGACAACAGAAGGGACAGTGTTGCAGAAGATGAGGTCAGAGTGATAGAGAGGAGACAGATTGGACTTTTGTTCTAAGTACAACAGGAAGCGATTTCAGCATTATAAGGAGAGAAAGGAAAGAATATGCATGATTCAAAATGATCACATTTTCATCTGGATGAAGATTAAATTGCAGAGGGGCAAACTTAGAAGAGGAGAGACAAGTTAGAGGTTTTTGTGGTAGTGCAGGTGTTTGACAATGGTGGTGAGATTAGCATGGTAGTACTGGAAATAGTAATTAGATTCTGGATACACTCTGGGAGTAGGGTCTACATATTGAGGGTTTGGATATAGAGAACAAGGGGAAGAGAGGAATCAAGCATCTCCCCTAGGATTTTGCCTTGAGCTGCTCGTGAAGTGGAAATGCATTTACTGAGAGAAGACTGGGGGAGAACAATTTATAAGGGAGGAAATTAGAAGTTCTACTCCAGGTATGTTAAGTTTAAAATGCCTATTACTTGTCTAAGCGGATCTTGACTACAAAACTGTCTGTAGTCTCAGCAAACGAGTTCTGTGGGCAATCAGCATTATTCTCTTTTTCTTGCCTTCCTGCATATTCGTAGCTTGAGGGAAAAATAGAAAAAAAAAATTCACTTGTTTATTCATTCAACAAATATTTATTAAACCATCTATTCCATAAACATTTATGCTAGGCACTGTTCTAGCAAATGTGGATAGGGGAATAAACAAGTTCTATTTTGTATCAAACTTTTTTTCCTTTTCAGGTTTAGTTTCAAGAGTGTGGGTGAAAAATGGATGACTCATTTCCGTTCTTTACTAGCTGGTCCAAGGCTGGCAGTTTGGTCTCTGTTGCCTCACTCTTCTCTGGTATGCAGTAGAAACATTCAGAAATAGACTTAGTAGCCTGGATATACAATGTCACCTGCCAAAGTCCTTCAATACCATAGTAATGAATAAAAAATGAATGGTACTAATTGATATATATTTCCTCCCATTTATTCATCCTATGTTTTTGTTTTTCTATTGTGTATTATTTTTTAAAGTACCAGAATAAACTAATGTCTTTGAGTTTGTGATGACTAATAGAAACAGTTGGATATAGAAATAATTCAGTTTAAGTCAGCCAAAGAAACACCAAAATGTTTCTGAGTAATTGGTTATTGCAGCCTTCTTAGTATTTCATTAGGGATAAATTGAGGTTTCTGAATCTAAGAAATTACCTGGTGCTTTTCAATACTGATATGATAGATTTTGATACCACTTGCTTAATATAGGAACATTTCCTGTTTTTCTTCTAGAGAACTCTGAATTAAAGAGAGAAGCAGAGATGAAAATAACTTCTCATTTGTGCTTTGAAATATTTCTTGTCCTAATTAAAATTCAGGCAAGCCAAATTTGATACCATAACATAGAGTCAGCCTGACCACTCAGCTTCCCTTAATATTCTGCATCCCCTCACCCTTCTTTAAAACTGGTTCCTCCAGTTTGTATCTGAATGATGCTATCATCACAGTGAGTTGTGCCAAACTCAGATTACTGTATGCTATAGTCATCGTCTGGTTTCCTGTCTAGTGAAGAAGCATTTCATGGTGGTTAATAGCACTGGCTTTAGTCAATTAGGCTAGGATTTGAATTCTGGCACTGCTGTTCATTGGCTGGATGACCTAGGGCAAGACACTTACTCTTTGTATCTCGATTTCCTCATCTGTGTTGATGTGTGAGACTTAAATGAGCTAATGCAGGTAAAGTCCCAAGCACAAGGCCTATCACCAGGTAGGCATTTGTTCATATGCTTAAAACCTATTTGAGTGTCAGGCACTGTTCTGAGCTCTGGGATAAAGCAAGCACAAATTAGACAAACTTCCTGCCTTCATGGTCTTTTTATTTTGGCATTCCATAACCTCAATTCCCTTTCTTATTTTCTTTCTTTCCTGGATGGCTCTGAGCAAAATAGTCATGTAGCAAAAAATGGGCACTTTATCATATTCTTACTCTTGTGTGTGACACAGCTAGTGTATTAGTCCATTTTCATGGTGCTGATAAAGACATACCAGATACTGGGCAATTTACAAAAGAAAGAGGTTTAATGGACTTACATTTCCACATGGCTGGGGAGGCCTCACAATCATGGTGGAAGGCAAGGAGCAAGTCACATCTTAGGTGGATGGCGGCAGGAAAAGAGAGAGAGGACTTGTGCTCTCTCTCCCGTTTTTAAAACTGTCAGATCTCGTGAGACTTACGAGAACAGCAAGGGAAGACCCACCCCATGATTCAGTTATCTCCTACTGGGTCCTTCCCACAACACGTGGGAATTATGGGAGCTACAAGATGAAATTTGGGTGGGGACGTAGAGCCAAACCATATAAGCTAGTGTCCGTGTTGCCCACCCTTGCCCACCAAGCTCCACCCATGCTCCACTTCCCCACCTAGGATGTCTTTCCCAGCAGTGCCTCCCAAGTGGGGCTTCTATGCACAACTTGGTGCCCTGCCCTATCCACACTCACCTGCATACTTTGTATCTTAGTCCCTGCCTTCTCAGTCATGTAAGTCAACTGATACTGAGTTTCTAGTAACTAGTATAGACCAAATATATACCCCTATTGAGAGCTTTGCTTAGTTCCCTAGAAATGAATCTCTAGAAATAGAAGATTGTAATTTGTGGAATATTTGAGAGAGGAGAGGGCTTCAGAGAAGCTGCTGTGTCTGACTGTGATCACTGTGTCGTTTGTTTATTGAACATAGGCTGTAAAACGACTTTCTTCTCTTCCCCATGCTTTTCCATGTTCCTCGCTCTCTCTCTTTTTTCTCTCCTATTTCTCACTTTCCCACGCTTGTGTCACTCACATTACATAAAATATAATATATAGTGAAGCCAACTTAAATACCACATCCTCCTTGAAACCACTCCTTCCCTTTCCACTTGAAAGAAATCTCCGTCCTCTGTACCTCTCTGGCCAGTCTTTCTAGTGTTGTCCACTTACTGGTTATCTTTCCCTCATTTCTCTGCATTCACAAACTTCATTCGAGATAAAACCCAAGTGGGAAGCTGGGAACTGAAGCCAGGTCAGGGCCTTTCAGAGGTCCAGCAAAACTTGGATCTCCCTCCGCTTTCCTCTTCTCCCTTCTCTCCTTTCTTTTCTGGAACACTATTTTTTTTTTTTTAAGCCCAAACCAGGTGTTAATATTATAACATAAGAAAGAGTACTTTTCGAGGTGGGTGGATCACGAGGTCAGGAGATAGAGAACATCCTGGCTAACATGGTGAAACCCCCTCTTTACTAAATATACAAAAAATTAGCTGGGCGCGGTGGCGGTCGCCTGTAGTCCCAGCTACTGGGGAGGCTGAGGCAGGAGAATGGCGTGAACCCGGGAGGCGGAGCTTGCCGTGAGCCGAGATTGCGTCACTGCACTCCAGCCTGGGCGACAGAGCGAGACTCCGTCTCAAAAAAAAACAAAAAACAAAAAACAAAAACGAGTACTTTTAATACAGTAGTAACCTCTTAATATAGTGGGAACCTGCAGGGGATATGTTCTAAGACTCCCAGTGGATGCCTGAAATCAAAGATAGTACAAAGCCCAATATATATACTGGTTGTTGTTGTTGTTGTTGTTGTTGTTTTAGACGGAGGAGTCTCGCTCTGTTGCCCAGGTTGGAGTGCAGTGGCGTGATCTCGGCTCACTGCAACCTCTGCCTCCCAGGTTCAAGCAATTCTCCTGCCTCAGCTTCCCGAGTAGCTGGGACTACAGGCGTGCGCTACCATGTCCAACTAATTTTTATATTTTTAGTAGAGACAGGGTTTCACCATTTTGGCCAGGATGGTCTCGATCTCTTGACCTTGTGATCTGCCCGCCTCAGCCTCCCAAAGTGCTGGGATTACAGGCATAAGCCACCGAACCCGGCCCGTAGTTTTGATATAATAACCCAGATGGCTACTAAGTAACTAACAGGCAGGTAGCATATACAGTGTGGATACACTGGTTAATGGATGATTCATGTCCTGGGTGGGACAGAACAGGCCGGCATGCGATTTCATCACACTATTCAGAATGGTGTGCAATTTTAAATGTATTAATTGTTTATTTCCGGAATTTTCTATTTAAGACTCTTGGACTGTGATACTGAAACCATGGAAAGCAAAACCATGGCTAACAGAGGTCTACTGTACATAAATTACAATGCAATATAATTGTGTTATTTATAAGATTATATGGGGTTATATTTAAAAAGTAATTTATGATATGCAATACGGTATCTGATAATGAGCTATTAAAGTTTGATTATAAATAAGATCTTAAATGTATACCAGAGACTGCATGTATAAACTAATATGGAGAGATTATTGGAAGTTTATTTTGCAGTCTATTGAGTAAGATCCAGGGTGAATGGTTCTTTGGCCCCCATTATACATTCTGTGTGGGCAGTAGTATCAGGTACAGATAAAAATCAGTAACCAAAACATTAGATGGATGAAAAATGAGGGTGATCACAGGAGGATGAGAAGCTACCAGGGTAGAATGCTGGAGAAAGACTGAGATGGTTTTCGGAGATGGTGTTCTTGTTAGCTCAAGGCCTGGGCACAGAGCTTGACTTCTTTGGGTTTCACAGAATCAGGGAGGCAGAGAACCAAGAGACCTAGAAAGATCTTCCCACAGGAAGATTGAATTTTCACCGTGGCAAAGGAAAAGTATCAAAGGAGAGTCCTGCTAAGAACAAAGCAAAGAGATTTAAGAGCTTAACATCTTTGGACGACGTGCTTTGGACCATCCTTGCCCATAATCCTTTTCTTTGAGATCCTATTCCCTATGTAGCACTGGTAATGGGCAGCCCTATGTAACTGGTGACACCCTTACAAGAAAACTGGTCTGCAAAGAGAAGGAAGAGGAAAGAAAAATTGTGCAGAGAGAAGTAGAAGCTAGAAAGCACATGAATCTTGAGAGGTAACTGAGTTGTCTCAGTTCTTCAATGGTTTCAGTTCCCATGACTCATGTTGGTACCATGCTATGGTTTCTGTGGATCTCTAGCATTGTATGAAGCTTCCTCAGCTTATATCCTATAAGTGGGGTCACTGTTTTTTTTTTTTTTTTTTGTCTTGAAAAGAGTCCTGACTAGGACAATAAGTGATATGTTGTTGAAAGTTGATGGCCTCTAGTTGTCTTGGGAACTTAAGCTTAGATACAGGGAGAACTATATTGGTTTTCTCACCCCAGTTAATATAGCCAGAGCTAGTTTTCCATCGCCAGTAGGGAGGAGTGTTTGGACACTTTCAGACAGTTGGGTTGGAGCTAAGATAAGGCAGAAGGAGATAATTTTTTTATGAGTCCTGGATAAATATTGGTGGATGTTTTGTTTAGGGTAAAAGCTAAGTTGCTGAAACAATGGGAACCTTTTAGTACAATGACTTAAATAAGATTAATATTTATGTATCTCTTTTGCTACAGACACAGTAATAGACGAGTTCTTCTCCTTAATGTCAGTTGCATCAGTTGTCCTTGTCTACATGGTCACTAGTACCATGATCATGTTCCAACCCATAGGAATGGGGTAAGGGGAATAGAGAGTGTCACCAAAGATTGAAGTCCAAAGATTTGTCACACACTACTTACAGTCATATATCAAGGGCTGAAACTCGCCATACCTAGCTGCATGGAATGTACTTTCTTAGATTTGTGGCCACACATGCTGCTAAACAACTTTTGGTGTTCGATTATTAAAATAAAGAGTTTCAGGGGACCATTAAGAGAATATCTGTAGCAAGCAGGAGCAGAACTAGAGCAGAGCTCCACAAAGCTTAACACAGTTTGTTTTCTCCTATTCCTCTAGCATTGACTGACTTTTGGGTTTTATCCATTTATTTGTTTACAATTTTAATTTACTTACTTGTTTTATTTGTAATGTGTGTTATTTGTGGTTGAACACTTTGTATTTATAATTCACTAAAAGGTAATCAAAATTTAAAATTAAATGTTTTACTTTTGTATGACCATTAATAGTTTTATTGGGTTTTAGAGCAGTGCCATAAAATTTCTAAAAAAAAAAAAAATAACAGGCGAGTTACTGCTGATCTCGCTCTCTGAATGCACTAGCAAAGAAAGTGTGTTTCACTCTGATAAGCCTCTGTGGACCAAAAATTTCTATTTCAAAGGAGAACGAAATGCCAACTAGTGGCTGCAGGTGGGGGATAAGTGTGGAATATGTGAAACAAATGTTTACAGTTTTTTTAATTATTCAAAAACAGTTGTGTGATAACTCTGCAGGGGGTCATGCTAGGACAGGCATCTATGAAGCACAATAAAGGCAACTAGACAAATCAAAGCATAGGAAGGACTGAGCTGAAAATAATGGAGATATTCATTCCTTTATAAATAATGTGTCCAATAATACCTTAATACTGCATAAAAGCTAGGCATGGTGGTGTGTGCCTGTAGTCCCAGCTACTGTGGAGGCTGAGGTAGGAGGATCACCTGAGCCAGGAAGTCAAGGCTGCAGTGAGCCATGATCACACCACTGCACTGCAGCCTGGAGGACAGAGTGAGACCCTGTCTCAAAAAACAAACAAACCAACTAACTAACTACTTAAAAAATAACCTGACTTTAAAACAGCAAAAATCCCTTGCTTTTCTACATTCGTTTTTTCTAGATTAGGTTTGTGAATAAGGAGCAGAAGAATAAAAATATCTCTGCCTCCAGGGGGTTACTGCCCCATTGTGGATATAAGAAGGCCATGGGATGTTCAGTGGCCTCTACTAGGATATGGCTTACATTAAATAGGACTCAGATAAGAAAGGTTCCTTGGGAGAGGTCAAAAGCGAAGATTCTGGGGGGAGATGGGAAAGAGTGAGGCTGCCGAAGTAAAGGAATGGGAGAATTACTTTAGATACACAGTGTCATTTATCCTTTACACAAATCTGAAAGTTGACTTCTTGGAATTTCTCTGGATCCCCATTCTGTTGCTGCTCAAATATTCAGTACTTTCCTGCCTTCTTGGCCTTGTCTAAGTTGTTGGTTCTGAACTGTTGCTTTGACCTTAGCATTTAGCATCAGTATTTTAAAAGTATTTCTTTTGTAGAAGGCTTCATTAGTTCCAGGCTTAACTTTGGCATTACCTGCAACTGAGCTATCACTGGGCCTGGCCCACTCACACGCCTGACCTTTATTTTCTGCCCAGCTTCACCTTAGATTTTCTAAGGCTGTCTTTCAATCTCTTTTTATTAACTGTTGTGTTCCACGTTTATTTAGCAGCACAAATGGTTATACACTCATTTCCATTGTGCAGAACAGACCTGAAAATGACACAGGAAGTCAAAATAGAAAGATCATTAGGAACTTAAGGTAAGGAATCAGGGTGGAGTGTAGTTCTGAGCAGAGCCTTAAAGGATGAGGTATGTTCAAGACTGAATGACACCTTTGTGATGCTATGGAGTGAAAGCAGTGGAACATGCTGGTGACCGACGGAAACAGTGCTGGGTGAGGAGGAAGGGTTTGGCAGAATGTGCCGAGTTGCCCTAGGTCTGAACCCTGGTTCTTGTCTCCGGATACCTGTGTGAATTTCCTCATTCCAATTTTGGATACCTCCCAGGATGACAGCTTTTCAGCTTCCTTGTTGACAGATTTTCAGGGTCTGTCTTTAGAATGATTAGCAGCTTTTAATATGTAGCCCCAAGTCTATTCTTCCATAGCCTGCACCCATCTTTTGCTCATAAAATATTTGGTATTGACTCTGTATTCCTTTGAGTTTCATTTTTGTTCAGTCTTAAGTAGGAATTACTTGGGTTCAAAGGGTGGGGAAGAAGACCTTCTTTCAGTAGAGAAGTCAAAGACAATCCAATACAGTATTCCCTCCTTATCCAAGAAGGGATATGTTCCAAGACCCCCAGTAAATGTCTAAAACTGAGGATAGTATCAAACCCTCTATATACTATGATTTTTTCCTATACACACATACCCCATGATAAAGTTTAATTTATAATTAGTCAGAGTAAGAGATTAACAATAACTAGTAATATAATAGAACAATTATAACAATATGCCAGCATCACTACTCTTGTGGGTTGGGGCCACTATTAAGTAAAATAAGGGTTACTTGAACACAGGCACTGCAATAGTGTGATAGTTGATTTGATAACAAAGATGGCTACTAAGTGACTAAGGGGCAAGTAGTATATACAGCATGGATACACTGGAGAAAGGATGATTCACATCCCGGGTGAGACAGAGTGGGATGGCACAGGATTTAATCATGCTACTCAGAATGGCACACAATTTAAAACTTGGGAATCATTTATTTCTGGAATTTTCCGTTTAATATTTTCGGACTGTGGTTGACCACAGGTAACTGAAACCATGGAAACTGAAACCACAGATAAGGGGGGACTACTGTACTAAACTTGAAGGGGTCTGAATTCTTGTTGGATAAAGTAAAACAAACACTGAGAAAATAAACTTTAACTGTATAAGACAGCAAAAGAAAAGCAAAGTATGAACCATGAATTGCTTTAAAACACAAACAGCTTTACCATGTAATACCAACCCTCCTTTTCACATTGTGATTTAGTTATTAACTAAATCCTGTTCTTTAGAAAGGTACCACACATTATTTTAGAGCACAACATCCACGTTTTAACCACAGAAGAGCACTAACATGGAACTCTCTGGAAGATGAATATTCCCAAATGTTCAACACATGGCCTGTGAAACCCAGTCCCATATTTATTTTTCATGTTACATTTGCTGATGGAAGTTATATCTGGAGTTAAAAGTATTTGGCAGATTCATAAGGATCCTTTTTAAACTAAAATTTGACAATGTCATTTTAGCATATAATGTCATTCTCACTGTGTGGAGATGTGGGAATGGAAAATATATCTGGGGAAAACACTGACACCTGGAAGGCTTCTGTCAACTTTCAACAAAAGCCTGCAAAAAACTGCAGATCAGATGATATGCAAATGTGTTTCAATTTCATGTACACCAAGTACATCGTATCCTGTTATTTTGACACACATTGGAAAATCATTTGATTACTTATCTTAGAATATTTCTTTCTACATGAATCTTCTCATTAAAATTTTTCTGATAACCTTTTACAATTATTATTTATTAAAATAGCAGTTTAGCTCCGAGATTTCCTGCTCTCAACGTTAGTGCACTTTATGCCTCACTGGTGTTACTTGTCATTTTCAGCTTTATTTACCTTTTTGCTTACTCTCTCCTATTTGATTATGTACTCCTAAAAGACAAGTTTCATGTTCATTTCACTAATTTCCTGTATAAGGTCTTACTTAACATTGGTGCTCAAAGGACCAAATTGTTTTGTGACACAATATATTTTTATTTTGTACTGTGAGCTCCTAGAGGTCAGAAGGGAATATCTCATTCATAACCCCCAGCACCTATTACACTCCTGAGTCTGCAGAGTAACTCAATAAATGATTTTCCTATAAAACAATAGGAATTGCATCCAAATGCTACATTTTGTCTTACAAGCCTATTTGTTTTAGTGCAAGGAATTGTGTTCAGACAAATCACAGGAACCACATGGAATGGTCCCATTGGTTCTCTAATCCCAACAGAGGCAGCTGTATGATGTTGCTAAGGGATCATAAAGCTCCAGAGACAGATCTGGGACAGGTACACAATTTAAATGGAGGCACAGAGGTAGATGCCAAAGAGTAACTATACATTATACTGTTTCCACATTCATGTTTTGGAGAAAAGTGTGATAAAAACAATTTTGTTAACAATTTTTAACTGCAACTACCGCAATTAATTTTAAGCCCCTTCATCATTGTTAGGTAGGGCAGAAGGAAGAGAGTTAAAGGTAATTATTTTTGTGATATTTTGGAAACTGTATGCAGTGGGTTGAGGGTGCCAACTGCCACATAGTTGAATCCACAGATGAGTGAGAAAACTACGCCAATGAGTTGTTACCGATAGGTCAAATAGCCTAATATGGTGGAAAATTGCAGAAAAGATTGCAAAAAAAAAAAAAAAAAAGTAAAAACAAACTAAAAAACTTTGATAATATAGAAGAAGCTGTTTGAAATAAATAAAGCAATGTAATTCTTAGTTTTGTGTTTAATCAAAACTCCTGCAAGGATCTTGTTGACTTACTACATATATCAACTAAACCTGTCCTGATTTGTGGGCAATTGATTGTTTGGGTCCTAGTTAGAGGTAGAATTAATAGCCATGTAACAGAACTTCTAAACATCTTTGTTAATGCTAAGAGAAAAAAGCACATGATTCTATTTTGCGTAAAACCAGTGGCTGATTTTTAAGAAAGAAGGAGGTGGCTTCTCGAAAATGAATCAGAGAAGTGAGATCTTTATATAAAAGTAAACTAAATTTGGTATAAAAAGAAAATAACTTGTAGAAACAGATGCATGATAAGAAGAGAGCATAATAAGGCATCCCAAGATTTCAAAAGGAAATTATTTTACTTAATTTGTTTTAAAATTAGCTTAAATTTGTTTCAGATTTTGGGGGAGTGGGAGGTTAATTTTCAGGATATCTTTTTAAATAATCATAGGTGGTTGTTTAGATTCTATGAAGAAACAGACTTTTTTTTTTTTTTTTTTTTTTTTTTGAGACGGAGTCTCACCCTGTTGCGCAGGCTGGAGTGCAATGGCACAATCTTGGCTCACTGCAACCTCCGCCTCCCAGGTTCAAACGATTCTCCTGCCTCAGCCTCCCAAGTAGCTGGGAATATGGGCGCCCGCCACCATGCCCAACTATTTTTTTGTATTTTTAGTAGAGACGTGGTTTCACCATGTTGGCCAGGATGGTCTCAAACTCTTGACCTTGTGATCTGCCCGCCTCGGCCTCCCAAAGTGCTGGGATTACAAGTGTGAGCCACCATGCCTGACTGAAGAAACAGTTTTAAAGTTCCATCTGAATTTTGATAGAAGTAATATCTATATTCTTGAGAAAATATCAACATTACATGGCAAAAGAGAGTCAGTAGTATATATAAAATGAGTGTGGTATGATTCTATAGGTGTGTAAGTGATGGCACCCTAATGTATTATCAGTGAGTGGCATACCTGTGTGTAGTGAACAGGTAAGGGTACCTGAACAGCTTCATGTAGAGAACTGCAGTAGGGTGAGGGAAAAGAGAGAGGAGAAGTAATTTTGCTTCTGTTCCTCATATCAATGTTATAATTTCTTAGTATCTATATAATGTGTAACTATTTTGTGATAAGCTTCACTCCCCTTATTCTCTTTTTATCTTTTTTCAGTTCTGATAAAATATATGACAAAAATGTGAGTAATATTTTTGTGCCTCTATTGCTTAATAATGATGAACTACTAATCCGGTTAATTCTATATCTCATGCCAACTGTCCACTTACTCAGAAGATCAGGAGGCTGGAGGCCCTGTCATTGGAGAGTCTGATTCAATCAGGTATGAGTATGCCTATGGAATCCATTATTTGATAAGCTCCTCAGATGGGCGTGACAGCCAGCCAGCATTTTGAGTCCTAAACTAAAAAGTTCTTTCTTTTTAATATCTCCATCACCCTTTCTCTGCAACTCATACAGGAGGCACAGTAATCCTTCCCCTGAGATTAATTTATCATCTCAGCAATGACCTAATCAATGTATTACCTCTTTCATTTTATATTTGAATTTTAAGATAGACTCCAAGGTGTTAAAATATAGCATCAGTTCTCTTTTGAGATCCCACCATTTCCAGAATTATCTAAGAATCCATGTGGAGTAATTCACTCAGTCCAAAAGGTTCAGTCCACTTCCCAAGGCCAGCTGGGGAGAATAGTGGAGAATTTAATCCATTTGCTTCTGGCAGACACTAGTAGTTGATGGATGCTTGCAGTTGTGCTCTTAGTGGCCAGATCCTTGCCTAGGGGCCAAGCTTCACACTTAGACTTTCTGGTTAGAACTCCCTTTATTTCACAAGTTTGCCAAAACAATGATGGTCCTGAGGGCTTCTAGACTAATTTTTTTGTGCATGTATATGACATAATCAGTTTTTTCTCAAAAGTCTATAGATCCTTACAATAATCCTATCACTTCAGCTCAGACTACCCTTTCATTGCGGTGAGTTGAGGTCCTCACTAGGCAGCACAATTCTCAAACTTTACCTTCCTATTAAAATCACCTGAAGGACGTATTAAACACAGGTTGCTGGGCTCCAACCTCTGAGTTTCTTACTCATAGTTGCTATGAACTGAACTGTGCCACCCACATATATATGTTGAAGTTCTAACCCCCGGTGCCTTAGAATGTATTTGGAGATAGGGCCTTTAAAGAGTAAGGTTAAATGAGGTTACAAGGGTGGTGCCCTAATCCTACATAACTGATGTCCTTATAAGAAGAGGAAGAGACACCACTAGATACATGCACACAGGGCAAAGGCCATGGGAGGACACAGCAGGGCAGAGACTCATCATCTGCAAGCCAAGGAGAAGTCGAATTTGCTGACACTTGATCTTGGGCTTTTAGCTTCCATAATTGTGAGACAATAAATTTATATTGTTTAAGCCAGCCAGTCTGTTGTATTTTGTTATGGCAACCTTAGCAGACTTATACAGTTGGATTGGGGTGGGCTCATGAATTTTCCTTTCTAACAAGTCCCCAGATGATGCTGATATGGCTGGTCTGGGGAGCACCCTTTGTGAATTACTGGGCTGGGAAATCTTCGTCAGGCCCACTTTGTTTTGTTTTGCGCATGTATATGACAGAATCAGTTTTTTCTCAAAAGTCTATAGACACTTTGTTTCATCCGAAGACCCTTGATGATCAGGAGGTAGGATTTTTATCCTTACGTTGAACTACTCAAAGTTAAAAAAGGCTCGGTTATGCTAGTGTCCATGACAGGGGGTGCATATTCACCTTACATCTGGTAACTAAAAGGCACATTGGAATAACTGCTTCTTGTTTCCACATACACAGAGAAGTTCTGGAAGTAGATTTTCCTATATTTTTTTCTTTAAAGTTATATCTTACCAGCAACTACTTTATATTAAAATACGGGATAACAGAACTGAGATACAAAAAAGAAAAATAAATCTCAATAATCTGACAGTAAGTACAATTCAGTGTAATTCAACAAATTGAATTGCTAGCAGATAATAATAACTGAGTTAACATGTTTCCTCTTCCATTTTATATTGGCATCTTACACTAGACTCCAATGTGTTAAAATACAACAAACTTTATGAATCTTAAGAATCACATGATGTCTTTGTTAAAAATACGGAGTCCTGAGCTACATTCCTACAGATTTTGATTCATTAGTTTGAGTGAATTTGGGAATCTTTATTTGTTATAAGGGCTTTTGGAGATTCTAATGCCGGTGGTCTGAATACCACCACTACATGAGAAACATGGACTTTGAGGAATAAGTAATGTGGGGATATTAATTTTTTGTATAAACAAATCAGCTGGGCATGGTGGTGCCTGCCTGTAGTCCCAGTTACTCAGGAGGCTGAGGTCGGAGGATCGTTTGAGCCCAGGAGTTCGAGGCTGGAGTGCAGTGGTGCAATCACGGCACACTGCAGCCTCAAACTCCTCGGTTCAAGCAATCCTCCCACCTCAGCCTCCTGAGTAGATTTTTTTTCCAAAAAAAAAAAAATAGAGGACATATTAGAAGATGTGGCTTTAAGTCCTACCCACCAATTATGACAATGCTGAACTGGGACAGCCTCCCTAGGTAAGATTTAGGACATGGAAGTGCAGAACATATCTTTGTTCTCTGATTTCTATGCACATGCTTGCTTCTTGGAGTTGAGTATGAACAGTTATTCTTTCAAAATTTACTAATCAGAGAAATATATCCCAAGAGGTGGAGTAGAGTGAGTAGAACATGGAGAGAGGCCAGTACAGGGGATCTCTGGACCTTGAAAAAACCCTCAGTAGTGGGCAGATAAGCTTCATCTTCCACTCCCCTCACCATTTCAAGAAAGTGACCACATTTGCAAAGGTGAACCACCTACTCAGGTTCCCATAGCTGGAAAGTGGTGGAGCCAGGATGGAACCTGGTCCTGAGTACCTCCAGAATCAACACTCCTGACTACTCTGCCAAAGACTTAGCTATATAGATGCAACCTTGTAGTGTGTGTGTGCAAATCCTTATACTGACAATGAGGGAAACTAAGTCCAGGTTAAATGTTTGGACGTCAACCGCGATAATCTGCCATCACGGCAGCCACTTCCTTTGGGTATATTTAATTTTAAGGGAAAAAATATATTTCCTGCTTTTTTGATTCCTGACTCCATTTCATCCTGGTATGCCTGCAGATGCTTCAGAATTACTTGGTATATTCCTGCCCTCAAAGAGTTGTAGTGGTCTTCGGTTTCTCATAAATATAAGACTGCTATATTACTGTGTTAAAACTCAGAGTTACTGGGCTGAATAAGCACAGAAGCACATTGTTTCTCAGCATTTACAGTTCTTTTTAGTTAAATGCTACATTCTTTAGAGTTTTGGGAGAACTCATTCCCTTTAAATCTCACCACAACTGTGAATTTGGAAATTAGATGAAAAAAAAAAGCTTATGAAAGTAAAATTCATATTCACTTCATATTCACACATACACACACACAATGCTAGTAACAACAGATGCCTCTGCTTGCAGTAACAGATTTATCCTAAATCTGGATACAATGAACTCTTTTTATTTCCTCAGATAAGCAGATATTTGACTAGATTTGGTGGAATATTTCTCTCTTGTGAGTTAAAAAAATAATTTTAGCATACAATTATGTAAAATTATGAAAATTAAAATTTTCATCATTGTTTTTAGATAGTGTTTCTATATAGTATTCTCCAGTATCTAGCACAAGACTGGCATATAGACCCATTTATTTGGTTATTCTTTCATTAATCTTGGCTTGGTTCTTCAAAAAATATAATGTTTTAATATTTAGATCACCAAACATTTAGAGAATTTCAGGTTTCAAGACATTCATACATTACTATAGTAAGCATTATTGTTGGATAACTAGCTTACTGATCATACCATAGCTAATAAGAAGAGATTGTCACTTTATCCCCAACTATATGCCGATCAATACGTGATGCTAGACAATGTTTATATGTATGAAAGGCCATGAGAGTAGGGTAAATGAGAAAAAAGTATATAATCTCATAGAAAACACTAGATCTTTGGCATATTTACATATCTTAAAAGTTCTTATTAAGTGAATTTTGGGTATAATTTGCAGAGACATGTTGAAGATAACTGACAATATCCTTTCTATTCTATATGTTATGCTAATTTGCTTCCACATTAAATCACACTGTTTAAAATGATAGCATTTTATATAAGGGTCTTAACAAGTACTTGATTATCGGATTGGTGGTTGTACTGTTTTCCCCCAGTAATAGCCAATACTTCCCTATTACGGAAGAAGCCAGTTAGGCTTTTGTTTTGTTTAGTTTTGCTTTTTCTTTTCCAAATCTGCTCAAAGGTTTAATTTTTAAATGTTTCTACGTCTTTTTCTCAGTGATGTACTATTTTTCAGGAACCATTTCAACTCTTTTAACAATTATACCTTAAGGGAATAAAGTCAGTTTTCTGTTTAAACCTGCTTGCTGAATTTTTTTTTTTTAGATGGAGTTTCACTCTTGTTGCCCAGGCTGGAGTACAATGGTGCGATCTTGGCTCACCGCAAACTCTGCCTCTGGGGTTCAAGCGATTCTCCTACCACAACCTCCTGAGTAGCTGGGATTACAGGCATGTACCACCACGCCCGACTAATTTTTTGTATTTTTAGGAGGGATGGGGTTTGTCTATGTTGTTTAGTCTGGTCTTGACCTCCTGACCTCAGGTGATCTGCCCGCCTCGGCCTCCCAAAGTGCTGGGATTACAGGTGTGAGCGGTCACGCCCGGTCGAATATTCTAATATACTTTTTTAGTTATTGAAAGTTACCAATAACTGGAATTTATTCATTTTGATGAAATAAATAAATGAAATTCCTGTTCATTCATTTGACAGTTATTGAGCACCTACTACATACAAAGCATTGATATAGCTGTCCTAGAAATTACAATGATATTATCACCAATTACTAACTTTTAGGTGGTCAAGGTGCATGACTAGTACCGTATCCCAGTTGGATCCTCAATACTTGCTATGATGCTTGGCACGTGGCAGTTTCTTTTTTTTTCTTTCTTTTTTTTTATTATTTTTTTATTATTATACTTTAAGTACTAGGGTACATGTGCACAATGTGCAGGTTTGTTACATATGTATACATGTGCCATGTTGGTTTGCTGCACCCATCAACTCGTCATTTACATTAGGTATATCTCCTAATGCTATCCCTCCCCCCTCCCCCAGCCCCATGACAGGCCCTGGTGTGTGATGTCCCCCTTCCTGTGTCTAAGTTTTCTCATTGTTCAATTCCCACCTGTGAGTGAGAACATGCAGTGTTTGGTTTTCTGTCCTTGTGATAAGTTTGCTCAGAATGATGGTTTCAAGCTTCATCCATGTGCCTACAAAGGACAAGAACTCATCCTTTTTTATGGCTGCGTAGTATTCCATGGTGTATAGGCACATGGCAGATTCTTATGAACTACTTCCTGAAGAAATGAATATATGATATACGATAATTTAAAAGTTCATTTAGTGCTCCCTAAAACTTTTTATAATTAAAACAGATTTTTTTTCCTGTTGTTTGGTATGTGTATTGATTACCCCATACATTTGTAAGGAGAAAATGCTATCCATAGTTATTAATGGTGCCTCCAGCACTACCTGTGTTTTCTTCATGCCTCCAGTTCCCACCTTCACTGTGGTTCCACTTCTTCCATTGCACTTCCATTCCACCTGTACTGTGATTCCAGCTTCTTCCAGATGACCCCAAGCCTTAGAAACTGGTAACATGACCTCCTTCCTTTGTTCCTCCAACCTAAGAGTAGTAAGGACATTCTGCTTTTGCTAATCTCTGGGAAGTTTCACTGTCCTAATTGACTTTTAAGCTCTTCCACTAATTCATTATCTTTGTTTCAAATACTTAGATGATTCCCTTGATTGTACATGGTCTAATATAATTTTATTACTGTCTTATTTTCTTTAGGATCTTTATCACTATCTGTAATTATTTTTATTACTGCCTGTACTATCTGTGTTGTGCTGTACTGCTACTGTTTTACCTGAGTAGAATGTAATATCCAAAAGGACAAGACTTGTTGTCTTATTTATGACTATATGCCCAGCTCTAGCACAGTATGTAGCACATGGTAGTTGCTTAATAAATGGTTTCTTAGTAAATATGTCTGGATAAATTTCTGAAGCTTTCAAATACATTAGTAGCAATGGCACACATGGTGTTCTCATACTAATTTGTTATTTTAACACTAAACTTAGTGAAAAGGCCATTATTTTTGTTTTTGTAATCCAGATGGAAATAGGGTATTTTAATTTCTTTTAGAAGAGGGTGAAAAAAAGCATCTAAGAAGTTTGATAATAAGATTCAGAGTTCTAAGCTGGATCAAGACTTACAAATTCAAATGGATTATTCTTATGAAGCTAAGGTGTCCCCATTCTTAACAAAATATTCTTTTATATATTGGTGTGTATATACTTTTAGATTGTAATCTTAATGCCACATGGATGTTCAATTATTTTGCCAATGCTGTGATTTCTTTCAGGTTACCTGCCATCAACCAAAAATGCAGGAAATTTCTTACTTTGCAGGCAAAACTGACATAGCATTTTGTGTCCTAAATGATGTCCTAATAAATATCAGAAATTTTTTTCCTTTGGTGGCATTATTTTTAATGATTTTACTATTCATGGTGTTTTCAGTTGCTAAAAACAATGCTTCTTTTAGAGTCTTGTATAGATTTTGTGGAACAATCAAGACCCAAATATCTTAAAATTAAAATGTACTTTTTGGTAAGTAGCTATAGAAAAACAAATCTGGCATGTGATATTTATTAGCTCATTTAGGAATCTAGCCTTGCACTTTCCCCTTTTCTGCTTTTGTTTATAGTTTTCTTTTAGCCAGTGGGGATACATTCTTTTCCTTTCCTTTCAAATATTGAAATCCTAGTTACAGAAATTTCCCTTCCTTTATGAAATCTTCCTAAGGCTTCCCAAATCAATTAACTGCATTTTATTTATACTTCACTCTCACTAATTGAATCAAGTTTTTGCATTCATTTGCTTATTTTTTCTTTTGACAGTGACAATCATTGTGTTAATCTGAGTAACAGTGAGAAAAAGGAGAAAAAAAATGTGCCTTCTTGAACTTACCCTTAACTGGGGAAGACATATGAGACAAACTAATATGAAGTAAATATATAATAACATATTGTGGCAATTGTTATGAAGAAAAACAAAAGTATAAGAGAAATGCTAACAAAGAAGATTCATTTAGATTTAGGAAGAGATGAGCCTTTCTGAAGAAGTAATATTTAACCTGAGAGCTGAAAGTTGCATATCATTTTATTGCAGTTATTTGCATACTTGGGTATTCCCCTGCTAAATCTAGGTTCCTGTCTACACATTCAATTGTATTGCCTCTACAGGATCTGACATGGGACCTTGCCTGTTAGGCTGGTTCAGTATAAATGTTGCATGCACTGAAAAGGATTTGCACAGTTGGCAAAAACCAAACTTGATACATTCATTTTGGTTCTGAATAAATGTTTCAAACTCCCTTTTGTCTTGAACTAGACACTTTGAACTGAGTCCTTGACTGATTAGGAGGCACTGGGATGGGGGTGAGGGGAGAAGCAATGTTTGCGGCTGGCTGGGTCTTCATCAAAAGATGAAACTCGTGAGATATTAACTTTAATTCTGCTTATTTTCATTTTCAGCCCCCCAGGAAAACACTGGGAGGGAATTCCATGGGTAATCTTTGTCTTTATGAACGTCTAGAGGATTCTACCATAAAATTAGGAAAGATAAGTTAGAAATGTTGAAACATAGAAAGTATTATAACTAGAACGCATTTAATACTTGTATTTTTAATTTTTGAGACAGTCTTCCTCTGTCACCCAGGCTGGAGTGCAGTAGCACTATCTCTGCTCTCTGTAACCTCTGCCCCCCGAATTCAAGCAACTCTCTTGCCTCAGCCTCCCAAGTAGCTGGTATTACAGGTGCATACCACCATGCTGGCTAATTTTTGTATTTTTAGTAGATGGGGTTTCACCATTTTGCCCAGGCTGGTCTTGAACTCTTGACCTCAAGTGATCTGCCTGCCTTGGCCTCCCAAGGTGCTGGCATTACAGGTGTGAGTCACTGTGCCCAGCCCAATACTTGTATTTTTAGAAATGAGAATGGCCATATTTCAATTTATGTGCATGAGTTTTACTACTATTGCCCTGTGATAAATACACAAGCTGTGCTATTTAGCAATCCTCACCAAAATTGATTTTCGAGTTAGATACCTTTGATGGGAGAATACAGCTGTTTTCAAATTAGAATTGGTAAATCCTAAAGCATTGCATTTGAAAATGATTAAATAGAGAGATGTGAAGTGATTTGGCTACAACACTAACCCCTTGTTCATTTCCAGGATATATTCAACTGGTCTGGCTGGTGAGGTAGATGTTACCATCCTTCTCATTTCTCTTTGCTTCAACTTAAATTTTACATTCAGGATAAGACATTTAGTGTGCCTCTTTTGGGACTGATGAAGATCCCAAACAAGCAATGTGGGGGAAAGAGTCTGAATCTAGACCCTTACAGCAGGAGTCTGTCTGTCATATAGGACATGCAGGTTGGTGAGTCTAACTGGAGAAAATAGGATTTCTCCAGTTTCCCTCTCCTGCCCAAAGGAAATCAAACCCTCATTCTCCTTCCAAGCAGTGCAGGCCTCATGGCAGTTTTGGAAGAGTGGTAATGATTATATTTAAGTAACGGAGGCAATAAAATAATGTGTTAGAACTGAAGCCAGAGAACTGTATAACAAGAATCTTACTACAATAGAGAAAGTTTCAGAGTGGCAGCATTTGTGCTACTGCTGGACTGGGGAAAGAAAAATTAAACACATTAACAAAGTACTTAATGGTTTGTTTGGACTGAATAGAAAATTAACATTGTTTTCTTTTATTCCTGTTGTCCAAAACCCATAACTGGATACTCCATTGTTGCAACACATTGTGATCTTAAGACATTTTCCAATTAATGGTATTGCTTCCTTAGGTGTGAGCTCTACAATTTAAAAAGCAGCCTATGTTCAAAGATGTATTTCGTATGGTGTCACTTTATCAGAAGAGCAATCTGCCATTTTTTGACAGCCAGTGACTTGTGGCTGAATCAGTGATACTTTAAAAAAGAACTCATTATCAGTCTAGTGAACAAAATATGCATTATAAGATTGTGCAGGATTATAACTTTCAATGTCAGTGATTTTTGTCTGCATGGGTGTGATAAATTGGGGATCAGCTGAAGCGGTTTCAAATATTTGCTATTTCATGAGATTAGCAAATTTAGACAGCCAAGGATTCCCTCCATTCTTCTTGGCATGAACCAGCTTTTCTTTTCTTATAAATAGTGTCACTCTGAGGAAAAATAAGGAAAAAAATGTAAACCAAGTTTTTATGACTGAGAAGTTGCCTTTTGAAGAAGAAGGAATCATTAATGTAGACATCTTTTATAAATATTAACAGACTTCATTTGAGGATTAAGGATGAATGAAATATGGGCTGTGCTGTACGGTCTTAATTCTACAAAGTTCTTAACGGTTCTGTGACATTGCAGTCAAATTCACATCCTGTGAGAAGTGAGCAAATGACATAAAAACAAAAAGCAGAATGGGAAGAGGTTAGAAGAACAGCATCCTGCTAGCTGACCTAAGGACATTTTTAGACAAACAATCCTAATCACTGACGGACTGTGGCAGATTATTTACACATCTCTAGTGTTGGTTATTATATGGATGCCTGAAATTATTGCAGCTATGGAAAGGTGAAATAGTGATGGTGTCAGGTTGAAACCTCATTTGAGAGAAGTCCACATTCCATAGTAACTAATGACTGGAAATTCAGACTTGATGAGGCAAGGGAAGAAGTGAGAACAAAATGAAATATCATTGGCACCAGCATATTTGTTATTTTTCAGAAGAGCCTTTTGAAACCGATCACTTACATTTAACCCCATCCAGGCATATCTAAGTCTCTGTTATGGGATTTTACACAATTGAGCTGGACATATACTATTTATAAGCCTCTAATGTCTCTATCAGAAAGTGTTTGCACCCATAGTGAGTTGAGATTTTGGAAATACAGTGAGAAATTTTATGTTAAGATTTTGTCTTCATATAGAACATGCAAAAGTGAAAAAAGTGAATAAGGTGAAACTGTCCTCTCTGTTATTTATCCCCAAAGTGCTTTTTTGTAATTTTGATATATGGCAATGTCAGTGGTCTGGCATTGGCAGGCAATGCTGACTTATCTGTCAGGCTTTGGAGTCATAGAGGCTTGTGTTCAAATGTCACCTTTTCTACTTATTTGGCATATGTTAAAATTTTAGGCCAGCCACAGTGTCTCATGCCTGTAATTCCAGCACTTTGGGAGCCTATCAGGAGGATTGTTTGAGCACAGGGGTTGGAGGTCACAGTGAGCTATGATTGTGCCACTGCATTCCAGCCTGGGCAGCAGAGTGAGACCCTGTTTCAAATAAAAAATCAAGCTTTAGTATGGGTAGTTATAAATATTATTATTGGTCAAGTGAGAAGCTTAGGTAGCATTCCCAACTCCTCTGCTTTTATACTTTTCAATCTGGTTGTTTACCAAGTCGTGTCCATCTGATCTCATAAGTATTTCCTAATAATTGCCCCCTTACCAACTATACTGTCATGGTTTCTGCTACTTCTATAGGTTTTGATCACTGTTTACTTGGATTTCTGAGATAAACCACTTTGTACTAATTGTCTCATGACTTATCCCTCTGTATTTCTTTCTGCACATTACTGAAAAGTAGAATCTTTCAAAAATGCAAATCTAATCATGTTGTAACATATATTAGAATACTTCATGGTTTTCTTTAAGTTCTGGCATAAGTTTAAAGTCATAAAATTTTATATAAGACTCCTCCTTTTTCTCTCCTACAACACACTTGTGGGTATACCCTATGGGTCAGTCAGGCTGAAATGTGTTGTTTCCCATGCTTACCATGCCCAGAATTCCCCCCTGCTGATCTCTTCCCTCTTATGCTTTCCCTGCACACTGCCACTCCCACTGAACAAATAGCTCTCCAGCTTTTATTTGTCCTGATCATTCAACTAAAATGAAAGTTCCTCTGGGAAATCTTCTTTTGCCCACCATAATGAATTTGATATGCCTTTCTTGTGCCTCAATAATACAAGCTAATGCTTCTTTCCAAGCACAGAGACTCTATTTTAATGTTAGTTTTTGAGAATAACTTTATTTTTATTGTATTAATATTTTTTTGAAGCAGGGTCTTGTTGTGTCACCCAGGCTGGAGTGCAGTGGCCAGAATACAGCTCACTGCAGCCTTAACCTCATGAGCTTAACCAATCCACCTGCCTTGGCCTCCCAAAGTGCTGGAATTACAGGTATAAGCCACTGTGTCCGGCCTGGGAATGACTTTATCACTGGAGTATAATCTCCTCAGGGCAGTGACTGTATCTTCTTTACTTTCAGATACATATCAGAGTGCCAGGCAACACAATAAACAAGCTATAAAAGTTTGTGGAAGGATGAATGTCTAAAGTTAAGTGCTACTAATTCAAAGGTCATTCATATTTTGAAGCAGATCAAAGACTAAAATTAAGAAAATGAGTCTCAAATTGTGGAATTTCAGGCTTTGGCCAACTGATGAATGGGATATGTGTATATGGGTGGGTATGTGTGCTGTGCTGTGTCAGTGTGTGTGTTGAGGGAATCCAGTAAGAATGTGGGGAGGTAGGAGTGCAGGTGATAGGAATGTCTCAAAACATTTAAAATAATATTATGTAGTTGGCTATTCTATTAGCTAAGAATATGACTATTGTTAGTCATAGTGACTTAAGCACATCAGGACTTATTTTTCTCCTGTAATAAGAAGTGTAGAGGTAGGTAGTTGCTTGTTCATGGCTTAAAAATGTTAGTGCAGAAGTTCCTGTGATTCTGTTCACCTTTTTCTTAAAGCTCCACAATGGCCGCCAGAATTCTAGTCATCAGGACCACATTTCAGGCAAAAAGCCTTAGAAAACATGGAAATGCAAAAAAGGAGAGTGCCAAGGAAAATGCAGGTGAAGACCTACTCTGTCACATTCAGGAGCTGTGCAGAACAGTGGCCAAATCTGAGGTGGCTATGATACTGGCTGGATTAAAGAACTCTCCTTCATTATTCTTATCCTTATTAAGCTTACAGATGATGAGTTTATTGATCCCTTTGGAAGATCAGCAAATATAAGCAAATAAGATATATATATATATATATATATATATTTTTTTTTTTTTTTTTTTTTTTTTTTGAGACGGAGTTTCACTCTTGTTGTCCAGGCTGAGTGCAGTGGTGCAATATCAGCTCACTGCAACCTCTGCTTCCTGGGTTCAAGGATTCTCCCGCCTTAACCTCCCAAGTAGCTGTGATTACAGGCGCCCGCCACCACGCCCGGCTAATTTTTGTATTTTTAGTAGAGATGCAGTTTCACCATGTTGGTCAGGCTGGTCTCGAACTCCTGACCTCAGGTGATCACCATCTGCCTCGGCCTTCCAAAGTGCTGGGATTACAGGTGTGAGCCACACGCCCGGTGGCAAATAAGTTATATTCTGAATTAAAACATATGATTTAACCTAATGATCCATTCAATTGTGTATAATTTTATTCTTTCTACTCACTCCCATTAACAAAACCCTCATCTTGCCAGCATTATTTACCCAAATTTATTAATTAAGGACTTACTCTGTGCCAGGCACTATGCTTCTCTCTGGGCATACAGAATATAAGAACAGAATAACCTTCTGGTCCTCTAGAAGCTCATTAAGTAGTACAGGAAACAAAGAAATCAACAGGTAGTTCCTATAGTAGGTGATACATTCTATGAGCCAGGCAGGCCTTCAGAGCTTTGAACAGGTAGCATGTGGATTCACTCCAGACTCGGGAGAGGAAGACAAAACCCAAGGCCTCCAGAAGGAGCTGGCAGCTCATCTATTATTGTAAAGGAAGAGAAGGAGTTGAGAAAATATGACAGTCCTTCTAAACAGATCAAAAATCAAATCAAAAGGCTGAAATTAGTTTCAGGAGGCTCAAATAGAGGAAGATGTGAGTGTATGGCCAAACTACAAGATTAATAAGCCCTAGATATATTTTCAAGAGTTATGTTTGTATCCTTGTATGAATCAATAAATTCTGAAATATTATTCTTGCATTATACTTTCCATTTCAAGCTGTTAATTCTTATAGCAGAGAACCACAAACTACATCATGATAAGAATGCTGGGTGATCACTGTGTCTTACTAACCCACTTTGTGACTGTTATCTGAACACCATAAGGAACATATAGAAGTGTGATGAGGTTGGGCTGAAATATGTACTTGAGACATGTGAGGAACATCTGAACGGAAACAGAAAGTAGGCAATGTGATAACTATCCTGGCGCTTAAAAGTAACATCTGGGATAAAAATATAGATGTAAAATTCCTTCACTCATTCCACAAATATATACTGATCACATAATATGTGCTAGATGCTAAAAATACAATGAGGGATAAGAAAAATTCCCTACCCTCAACATGTTTACATTCTAATGATAGAGACAGAGAACTAAAGGTTTTAACCTGCCTATAGTGGGCATTTACAACTAGGTTAGATAAGAACTGCAGAGAAAGTATTTAAAGTGAGAAGACATGGCTCATAATAAAATCTGGAGCATATTAAGTTTTAAAAAAAGAGTGGTGGTAGAAAAAGAGGGACTCACAACAGATTTTGAAAAGGAGCATCTGGAGAAATAGAAGGAAAATCAGAAAAGAACCATAGCACAGAAAGCAAGCAGGGTGAGAGTTTGAAAAGTGAGTCAAAAGTCTTGAAGGCCGAAGTTGGGTTCAGGAGGCTAAAGACTGGAAGGCGTCCAATGGGTTGAGAAATTAGGAGGTTATTAGTGATTTTGACAGGAGCAGATTCAGTGAATTGAAGGGAGGCGAAACATTTCCATTTCAGGAGTAAATAGGAGGTGAAGAGGATAATGAATGTCACTTGATCCTTTCACAAAGCTTGGCTATGGTGGGATGAAGAGAAATAGGGAAATGTAGAATTAAGAAAGATTTTAACATAATTATCAGACTAAGAAACAGCTTATAGACAGGCTGCATTTAAATTCAGTAAATGAAGTGATAATTTATGGGAAGGCTTCCTCAAGGAATTCAGAGAAAAGTAGGATCTAGAGAGTGTGTAGGAGGAATTAGCCTGCATTTGGGTAAGTCTTCACTGAATCCTGAGAGAAGATGGAGTTCCTGGATTCAGGTACAAGTCTTTCTGGGAGAGAGCAAGAGTTGAAAGAACACTTACCTAATACCCTCTATTTTTCTGTGAAGGGGGGCCTAAGAGTCTTTGAGGGTTTAGGATTAAGATCTTCAAGAGAATGGTGAAGGTTTAAAAGGCTGTTACATGGCATCGGAGATGGAGTTGCTTAGGAGCTCACCAAAAGATTGCCAGCTGATCTTCAGAACCTATCCAAAGTTAGAGACCAAGACCCTGTGTTGGTACCAGTCCCCCTTACCATGTGACTTTTCCCCATAATGCTCAAGAATTTATGTTGAAGAGCAGAAGAAATCCATAGTTGAATATGTTGCTCTAGCACTGAGGGCAGGTTGTTTGGGAGAATAAGGAGGCAAGGGAGTTGAGGGTCCTAGTAAAAAGTAGTTTAAGTCAGAGCTTCCCAAAATTTTCCTCCACAAAAACTCACAATGTCTTTTGTAGCTGTAGCACACTTAGATGCTGAGATAAAGCTCCTCTTAGCCCTCTAAGGGCTGAGCATGGCAAGAGGAGCCAGAACTCTCAGGCTAGTTACTTCCACTGGCATAAGTAGCCTTGAGCATTTAAAATATTAAAATAAAATGTTAAAATTAATTAAAATATTATTTTTTCTATCATGCTATGCAAATGATTCAAAAGCACTGGTTTAAGTGATTTATGAGGTCTATTTAGGTTACGGATAGCAGTGATGCATCAGGGAAGTTTAGACATTGAAGAAATAATTGTATTCATAAGGCAGAAACACTAGTGTGGGGAATGGCAGAGTTATCTGGAAAGGGTGCTGTGGCCAGAGAGAATGATAAGAAAAATAAAGACTTTTGAGATTTTGCCATTCCAGAAAATAAAAAAAACTTGGTTGCAGCCTCAGGTGTGATTAGCTGGAATGGAGTGGAGAAGTGGAACAAGGAATTGAAAGTGGGGTTTGGGTTAGATTGTCCCCAGAGACATTTAAGATAGCCAGCAACAATGACAATCAAGATTGCCATGACCTCTCTCTTTCTCCTCATGTCATTTTTTTCTCCCACTATTCCGATGAGAATTTTAATTAGGGATTTTAAGGATGCACATGGTCTGAAACTGGAAGATTATCCAACAGTAAGGCAGCTCTAGAGATCAGAGCTAATCTTTTTCATTTGAGTAAGTGGCTCCATGGCTAAAAACAAGTTTGAAGGTCATGTATCCTAGAAATAGATAAACAAAATACCCTTCAGGGAACTCTACATAAATTCTAGTTCTTTCAATTGACTTTCAAGCTGTTATAAACATTTTTTTTTTAAATTTAAATCCTTTCTTACCACTTCATAAACTGCAAGTGCTAAGTCTTAAAAATCTGACTTTTCAGAGCATCTTTCTTGTAGATAATACTGTTGACTCTTAATGATACAGCTTTTCAATATGTTTTTCCTGTCCAAAATAACTGATATCAGCTAACTGGAATTTGCTTATCTTAAACCATCCTGAAGTGATACTGTCTTTCACAGATGTCTCTTAAGACCATTCCATGTCATCTATAGTGTATTTAATAAATGCTTTTTAATGTAATTGAGGCAGCTAGTGATTCTGCGATTGCTTATAGTTTACCTTCATGTGGCTTCTAGTTTTCACTTCATAGCATCAATATAAAAGATGTTTCTATGTAACAGAGTTTTGTTTCTTTGTCCTATGTTAACTCTGGAGACGCTTCAGTTGGAAATTCATTACTGTTTTTACATCGTTAAACCAGGAATGATTTATTTATTTATTTCACTGTTATTTGCTTTTCTTCTTTCCTTTTCTTTTTTCGCTACAATTTCAGCTGATGTCATTAAAGCCACTTTAGGAGAAATTGTGGTCTTTAACTTACATAGCAGAGGGCAAGGTGCTAGACTATGGCTAGTGTTATTCAAAATTTTAAAGCTACTATCTAACGTTATTATTTCAGAAAACTTCAGCATTTTATGAAATGCTACATTTCATAGTTCCTGCAAATGCAATGGGTATAATGTATTACTAAATTGCCAGTAAAATAGAATTTTCAGATTATGTAATTTTTCAGGGTATATGCAAACATGTTTAGTTTTCCTACTTGCTGTTCCAACAAATTGCAGTCATTCAAAATGGAATGTAATAAACTTCTTTAATGGATTTGTGGACATAATTTTCAAATCTGTATTTGTGATGGATGAACTGTTTAAATCTAAATATGGGAGATGCAACTTGGAAATCTGTTTATAGATATTTGGACTGAACTTCCCCAACAGGAGAGAAATAAAATTAATTTATTCAGATTGCGCTCCTGCTTAAGATAAGCAGAAAAAAGTGGTTTCTGCTATTAGATCTAGTGTTAAACTACAACCACAAGAGGAGAAATAGTTTCAGAATGCTCTGTGAAAGTAGCAAGTATGAAAATCTAAATGTGTGATGAAAAGCGAACTCTCTCTCAAGGGCAGAATTTTCAAAGGGAACTTTCCTTAAAATCTCTTTAGATGTTCAATCTGTAGTATGAACATTTAATTTTTTTGCTTGGCTTTGAAGTTGTACCCATTTAAATCTGCTTTGTGACATGTTAGAAAGGAATATATGTTTGAGAAGATGTCTGCATCATCTCTCAAATTAATGCCAAGGGCAAGAGACTAGGCCTTTGAATTTACCTTTCTGGGACAAAATCAGAAGGTTTGGGAAGTTATAATTTTAGAGAGACAGGAAAATGCATAAGCACCAATCAGTTTCTGTATCTTACAGATTGTTTGAGAAAGATAATTTAGCCTTTATTTTTATTGTTAAGAACCTGAAATGATTGCTACATATATAAGTATTTTTAAATGACTTAATTCAGATTCAGAATTAAGATTCTGAATTAATATTGAGACTTTGAAAGATTTTCTCCCCCTCTCATCTAGAGGCATGAATTTTCAGAACCCTTCCTAATAATCTTGTGATAGGCTTGGATTCTACCCAAAGCATGAAGAAGGATGGAGCAAAAATTCCAAGGAGGAGGAAAGGTGAGAGGTAAAATATCATATTGCGATCAACTGAATGAAATTAATGTTTATGTAGAAACTATCCCTTTGCTCTCCCTTTGAAATAGTTGAGAATTGTCTTTTTCAACTTAGTGCCTCCTGGTTCTTCTTTGTCTTGGATATATTATATTAGTGTAGAAAATTAAATGTACATGAAAGCCTTTAAATTAACATTGGGGAAATAGTTAAAAATTGTTTTCAAAGGTAGATTCTTTTTCTTACTAAAGTGAATAAAGTTCATAAGCCTATAAGCTATTAAGCTAGGTGTTTGTGTGATCCTTTTCTGAACTAATGACACCTCAATTAGGATAGTGGTTTGAGACTTATTTTAACAAGCCACCTCTTACTTCATTTTTTTCTAGATTTTACTGACTGTATCTGAAACCTCTCAATAGTTCTCTCTACTCTCGAAGTAAAATCCATTTTCTTATTAATTTAATTCATCTAATTTAAGTATCTGTTGATTGTGTAAATATTCAGGAATTTACCCATCACTTTATTAAAATAAATCAAAAGAATATTGAACAACTAATCAAAGTAATGTGTAGTTTTGGGTGCTTGGGGTATTCATTAGTGGCTAGCACATAACTCTTTCATTTGGATGGCTTGCAGTCTACCAGAAGGTGTGTGTTTGAAAATACCAATAAGACTAGAAGGAAAATAGTGTTTCAGGAGAAAAGGGGACCCTTATTTAAGGAACTTCAAAAGATGAAATTAGCTACATAGTGGTTTAGTATTTCATTTCCACTAACGTCTCCAACTTGCAACCAGGAATCCTTTCAAAGTGATTATTTCAGGAGTACAACTGGAGCTTGCTTAAAAGAGATTTTGTTTATTAAGTATCTTCTGAATAATTCTTGACTCCAGGCACCTTTGTGTATTTCTAGGTTTTTTTGTTTTTGTTTTTGTTTTTGTTTTTGGCAAAGCAGACACATATATTTATTTCTAGCATAAGATGACAGGTTCTACAGTGACTTTATTTATTTTTATTTCTATTTTTTTGGAGACAGAGTTTCGCTCTCGTCGCCCAGGCTGGAGTGCAGTGGCACCATCTCGACTCACTGCAACCTCTGCCTCCCGGGTTAAAGTGATTCTCCTGCCTCAACCTCCCCGAGTATCTGGGATTACAGGCACCCACCACCACCACGCCCAGCTAATTTTTGTATTTTTAGTAGAGATCGGGTTTTGCCATGTTGGCCAGGCTGGTCTCAAACTCCTGACCTCAGATGATCCACCAGCCTCAGCCTCCCAAAGTGCTGAGATTACAAGCGTGAGTCACCGCACCTGGCTCTACAGTGACTTTAGAAAGCCCACTGTCTCTGTAGGGGTTGTTAAGAGATAACATCAACAACAAGCAAAGGGTCTTGGGGAAGGAGAGACATAATTTTTCTTGAGCCATCACTGTGAGATGCCACGGCCTGCTCCAGTCTTTTTATGTCTCCAAGCAAACACAAGTTATTTATGAAAAAGTATTTATGTCTTCTTGGCCGGCTTCATATGCAGATCTTCTCACTCTCTGGAAATTTGATCTGCTAGCATGTCACAGTCTGAAATACTGAAACTGATAATAATGTCAATCCCTACACAAAGTTTGGGGATCAGTTAACTGTGATCTGTCAAAAACAATTGTCCTAGCAGTCAGGGCAGAGTAACTCTGATTTTAATTTTGATGTCAATCTTGACTTTAATTTTGTTATTTCATTACTATTCATACTGTATTAAAGATTAAAAGATAGTGAATAAGAAAAAGAGAGAACATTCTAGAGGTTTGATGAGAACCCAATCTACAAAGTTCTATTTATTTTACTAATTAATTAATTTAACTTGATCCCTTTGGTGTGCCATTTTTTTTTATTATTATACTTTAAGTTTTAGGGTACATGTGCACATTGTGCAGGTTAGTTACATATGTATACATGTGCCATGCTGGTGCGCTGCACCCACTAACTCGTCATTTAGCAATACAATGAACTCCAACAAATTTACAAGAAAAAAACAAACAACCCCATCAAAAAGTGGGCGAAGGACATGAACAGACACTTCTCAAAAGAAGACATTTATGCAGCCAAAAAACACATGAAAAAATGCTCATCATCACTGGCCATCAGAGAAATGCAAATCAAAACCACAATGAGATACCATCTCACACCAGTTAGAATGGCAATCATTCAAAAGTCAGGAAACAACAGGTGCTGGAGAGGATGTGGAGAAATAGGAACACTTTTACACTGTTGGTGGGACTGTAAACTAGTTCAACCATTGTGGAAGTCAGTGTGGCGATTCCTCAGGGATCTAGAACTAGAAATACCATTTGACCCAGCCATCCCATTACTGGGTATATACCCAAAGGACTATAAATCATGCTGCTATAAAGACACATGCACACGTATGTTTATTGCAGCATTATTCACAATAGCAAAGACTTGGAACCAACCCAAATGTCCAACAATGATAGACTGGATTAAGAAAATGTGGCACATATACACCATGGAATACTATGCATCCATAAAAAATGATGAGTTCATGTCCTTTGTAGGGACATGGATGAAATTGGAAATCATCATTCTCAGTAAACTATTGCAAGAACAAAAAACCAAACACCGCATATTCTCACTCATAGGTGGGAATTGAACAATGAGATCACATGGACACAGGAAGGGGAACATCACACTCTGGGGACTGTTGTGGGGTGGGGGGAGGGGGGAGGGATAGCATTGGGAGATATATTTCTAGGTTTTGAAACCCGAATATTGTCCTGCTTCTTTTAGAAGTCAGCCTCCTCTATTGTTTGGTGGAGGAGGAGTGAAGATAGTTGTCTAGCTGTCTGTCCTGAGTCTTCTTCAGGGACATGCATTATTTTCCAGCTGCTCTTAGCAGTCCTTTCATGGTTATCACACCATGTTTATAATAATTTCAAAAGGGAATTATAAGGTAGAAGAGTAAATGTTTAAAACCATGTTAAATAGGACTTTTCCCAGAGAACCAGAGAAAATGTACCTAAGTAATTCACAAGGTAAATTTAATGAGAATTTCCCAAGTCCTAGTTGATTCTACTTGCCCTCTTTCCAGCATCTCCTCCAATTCTCTCTGTGATCATCTCCAACCACCTCTCTCATGAATTGCCATTCCACTTGCAGGAAGGCTCCTGTTCTGTGTCCAATTCCTTCTTCCTACATTTGTGCAGTCTGAGAAGAGCACATCTGGAGAAGAGCTTCTAGGGTCCTTAGGATGGTCAGAGATAGTTGAAACCTAAGCCTGTATTGTGGCCACCAGTTTTCTTATTCTTTGGTCCAAGGTAGATGCATTTTCCATGCTGAATTTTCTTTTTTTTTTTTTTTTTATTATACTTTAAGTTCTAGGGTACATGTGCACAACGTGCTGGTTTGTTACAGATGTATACATGTGCCATGTTGGTGTGCTGCACCCAATAACTCGTCATTTACATTAGGTATATCTCCTAATGCTATCCCTCCCTCTAACTCCACCCCACAACAGGCCCCGGTGTGTGATGTTCCCCTTCCTGTGTCCAAGTGTTCTCATTGCTCAATTCCCACCTATGAGTGAGAACATGCAGTGTTTGGTTTTTTGTCCTTGCAATAGTTTGCTGAGAATGATGGTTTCCAGCTTCATCCATGTCCCTGCAAAGGACAAGAACTCATCCTTTTTTATGGCTGCATAGTATTCCATGGTGCATATGTTCCACATTTTCTTAATCCAGTCTATCATTGTTGGACATTTGGGTTGGTTCCACGTATTTGCTATTGTGAATAGTGCTGCAATGAACATATGTGTGCATGTGTCTTTATAGCAGCATGATTTATAATCCTTTGGGTATATACCCAGTAATGGGATGGCTGGGTCAAATGGTATTTCTAGTTCTAGATCCCTGAGGGATCGCCACACTGTCTTCCACAATGGTTGAACTAGTTTACAGTCCCACCAACAGTGTAAAAGTGTTCCTATTTCTCCACATCCTCTCCAGCACCTGTTGTTTCCTGACTTTTTAATGATTGCCATTCTAACTGGTATGAGATGGTATCTCATTGTGGTTTTGATTTGCTTTTCTCTGATGGCCAGTGATGATGAGCATTTTTTCATGTGTCTGTTGGTGGCATGAATGTCTTCTTTTAAGAAGTGTTTGTTCATATCCTTTGCTCACTTTCTGATGGCGTTGTTTTTTTCTCGTAAGTTTGTTTGAGTTCTTTGTAGATTCTGGATATTAGCCCTTTGTCAGATGAGTAGATTGCAAAAATTTTCTCCCATTCTGTAGGCTGCCTGTTCACGCTGATGGTAGTTTCTTTTGCTGTGCAGAAGCTCTTTAGTTTAATTAGATCCCATTTGTCAATTTTGGCTTTTGTTGCCATTGCTTTTGGCGTTTTAGACATGAAGTTCTTGCTCATGCCTATGTCCTGAATGGTAATGCCTAGGTTTTCTTCTAGGGTTTTCATGGTTTTAGGTCTGACATTTAAGTCTTTAATCCATCTTGAATTAATTTTTATATAAGGCATAAGGAAGGGATCCAGTTTCAGCTTTCTACATATGGCTAGCCAGTTTTCCCAGCACCATTTATTAAATAGGGAATCCTTTCCCCATTTCTTGTTTTTGTCAGGTTTGTCAAAGATCAGATGGTTGTAGATGTGTGGTATTATTTCTGAGGGCTCTGTTCTGTTCCATTGGTCTATATCTCTGTTTTGGTACCAGTACCATGCTGTTTTTGTTACTGTAGCCTTGTAGTATAGTTTGAAGTCAGGTAGTGTGATGTCTCCAGCTTTGTTCTTTTGGCTTAGGATTGTCTTGGCAATGTGGGCTCTTTTTTGGTTCCATATGAACTTTAAAGTAGTTTTTTTCCAATTCTGTGAAGAAAGTCATTGGTAGCTTGATGGGCATGGCATTGAATCTGTAAATTACCTTGGGCAGTATGGTCATTTTTCACAATATTGATTCTTCCTACCCACGAGCATGGAATGTTCTTCCATCTGCTTGTGTCCTCTTTTATTTCGTTGAGCAGTAGTTTGTAATTCTCCTTGAAGAGGTCCTTCATATCCCTTGTAAGTTGGATTCTTAGGTAATTTATTCACTTTGAAGCAATTGTGAATGGGAGTTCACTCATGATTTGGCTCTCTGTTTGTCTGTTATTGGTGTATAAGAATGCTTGTGATTTTTGCACATTGATTTTGTATCCTGAGACTTTGCTGAAGATGCTTATCAGCTTAAGGAGATTTTGGGCTGAGACGATGGGGTTCTCTAAATATACAATCATGTCATCTGCAAACAGGGACAATTTGACTTCCTCTTTTCCTAATTGAATACTCTTTATTTCTTTCTCCTGTCTGATTGCCCTGGCCAGAACTTCCAACACTATGTTAAATAGGAGTGGTGAGAGAGGGCATCCCTGTCTTGTGCCAGTTTTCAAAAGGAATGCTTCCAGTTTTTGCCCATTCAGTATGATATTGGCTGTGGGTTTGTCATAAATAGCTCTTATTATTCTGAGATACGTCCCATCAATACCTAATTTATTGGGAGTTTTTAGCATGAAGGACTGTTGAATTTTGTCAAAGGCCTTTTCTGTATCTATTGAGATAATCATATGGTGGTTTTTGTCTTTGGGTCTGTTTATATGCTGGATTACGTTTATTGATTTCCGTATGTTGAACCAGCCTCGCATCCCAGGGATGAAGCCCACTTGATTGTGGTGGATAAGCTTTTTGATGTGCTGCTGGATTCGGTTTGCCAGTATTTCAATGAGGATTTTTGCATTGATGTTCATCAGGGATACTGGTCTAAAATTCTCTTTTGTTGTTGTGTCTCTGCCACGCTTTCATATCAGGATGATGCTGGCCTCATAAAATGAGTTAGGGAGGATTCTTTCTTTTTCTATTTATTGGAATAGTTTCAGAAGGAATGGTACCACCTCCTCCTTGTACCTCTGCTAGAATTCGGCTGTGAATCCATCTGGTCCTGGACTTTTTTTGGTTGGTAGGCTATTAATTATTGCCTCACTTTCAGAGCCTGTTATTGGTCTATTCAGGGATTCAACTTCTTCCTGGTTTAGTCTTGGGAGGGTGTATGTGTCCAGGAATTTATCCATTTCTTCTAGATTTTCTAGTTTATTTGCATAGACATGTTTATAGTATTCTCTGATGGTAGTTTGTATTTCTGTGGGATCAGTGGTGACATCCCTTTTATCATTTTCTATTGCATCTATTTGATTCTTCTCTCTTTTCTTCTTTATTAGTCTTGCTAGCGGTCTGTCAATTTTGTTCAACTTTTCAAAAAACCAGCTCCTGGATTCATTGATTTTTTGAAGGGTTTTTTGTGTCTCTGTCTCCTTCAGTTCTGCTCTGATCTTAGTTATTTCTTGTCTTCTGCTAGCTTTTGAATGTGTTTGCTCTTGCTTCTCTAGTTCTTTTAATTGTGATGTTAGGGTGTCAATTTTAGATCTTTCCTGCTTTCTCTTGTGGGCATTTAGTGCTATAAATTTCCCTCTACACACTGCTTTAAATGTGTCCCAGAGATTCTGGTATGTTGTGTCTTTGTTCTCACTGGTTTCAAAGAACATCTTTATTTCTGCCTTCGTTTTGTTATGTACCCAGTAGTCATTCAGGAGCAGGTTGTTCAGTTTCCATGTAGTTGAGCAGTTTTGAGTGAGTTTCTTAACCCTGAGTTCTAGTTTGATTGCACTGTGGTCTGAGAGATAGTTTGTTATAATTTCTGTTCTTTTACATTAGCTGAGGAGTGCTTTACTTCCAACTATGTGGTCAATTTTGGAATAAGTGTGATGTGGTGCTAAGAAGAATGTATATTTTGTTGATTGGGGGTGGAGAGTTCTGTAGATGTCTATTAGGTCCACTTGGTGCAGAGCTGAGTTCAATTCCCGGATATCCTTGTTAACTTTCTGTTTCGTTGATCTGTCTAATGTTGACAGTGGGGTGCTAAAGTCTCCCATTATTATTGTGTGGGAGTCTAAGTCTCTCTGTAGGTCTCTAAGGACTTGCTTTATGAATCTGGGTACTCCTGTATTGGGTGCATATATATTTAGGATAGTTAGCTCTTCTTGTTGAATTGATCCCTTTACCACTATGTAATGGCCTTCTTTGTCAATTTTGATCTTTGTTGGTTTAAAGTCTATTTTATCAGAGACTAGGATCGCAACCCCTGCCTTTTTTTGTTTTCCATTTGCTTGGTAGATCTTCCTTCATCCGTTTATTTTGAGCCTATGTGTGTCTCTCCACCTGAGATGGGTCTCCTGAATAGAGCACACTGATGGCTCTTGACTCTTTATCCAATTTGCCAGTCTGTGTCTTTTAATTGGAGCATTTAGCCCATTTACATTTAAGGTTAATATTGTTATGTATGAATTTGATACTGTCATGATGTTAGCTGGTTATTTTGCTCATTAGTTGATGCAGTTGCTTCCTAGCATCGAAGATCTTTACAGTTTGGCATGTTTTTGCAGTGGCTGGTACCAGTTGTTCCTTTCCATGTTTAATGCTTTCTTCAGGAGCTCTTGCAGAGCAGGCCTGGTGGTGACAAAATCTTTCAGCATTTGCTTGTCTGTAAAGGATTTTATTTCTCCTTCACTAACGAAGCTTGATTTGGCTGGATATGAAATTCTGGGTTGAAAATTCTTTTCTTTAAGAATGTTGAATATTGGCCACCATTCTCTTCTGGCTTGTAGAGTTTCTGCCAAGAGATCCACTGTTATTCTGATGGGCTTCCCTTTGTGGATAACCCGACCTTTCTCTCTGACTGCCCTTAACATTTTTTCTTTCATTTCAACTTTGGTGAATCTGACAATTATGTATCTTGGAGTTGCTCTTCTCGGGAATATCTTTGTGGCATTCTCTGTATTTCCTGATTTGAATGTTGGCCTGCCTTGCTAGGTTGGGGAAGTACTCCTGGATAATATCCTGCAGAGTGTTTTCCAGCTTGGTTCAATTCTCTCCGTCACTTTCAGGTACACCAATCAGACGTAGATTTGGTCTTTTCACATAGTCCCATATTTCTTGGAGGCTTTGTTCATTTCTTTTTCCTCTTTTTTCTCTAAACTTCTCTTCTTGTTTCATCTTATTCATTTGATCTTCAATCACTGATACCCTTTCTTCCAGTTGATCGAATCGGCTACTGAAGCTTGTGCATTCATCATGTAGTTCTCACGTCATGGTTTTCAGCTCCATCTGGTCATTTAAGGACTTCTCTACACTGGTTATTCTAGTTAGCCATTCATCTAATCTTTTTTCAAGGTTTTTAGCTTCTTTGTGATGGTTTCGAACTTCCTCCTTTAGCTCGGAGAGGTTTGATAGACTGAAGTCTTCTCTCAACTCGTCAAAGTCATTCTCCATCCAGCTTTGTTCTGTTGCTGGTGAGGAGCTGCATTCCTTTGGAGGGGGAGAGGTGCTCTGATTTTTAGAATTTTCAGCTTTTCTGCTCTGTTTTTTCCCCATCTTTGTGGTTTTATCTACCTTTGGTCTTTGATGATGGTGACGTACAGATGGGGTTTTGGTGTGGATGTCCTTTTTGTTTGTTAGTTTTCCTTCTAACAGTCAGGATCCTCAGCTGCAGATCTGTTGGAGTTTGCTGGAGGTCCACTCCAGACACTGTTTGCCTGGGTACCAGCAGTGGAGGCTGCAGAACAGCAAATATTGCTGAACATCAAATGTTGCTGCCTGATCGTTCCTCTGGAAGCTTCGTCTCAGAGGGGTACCCGGCCATGTGAGGTGTCAGTCTGCCCCTACTGGAGGGTGCCTCCCAGTTAGGCTACTTGGGGGTCAGGGACCACTTGAGGAGGCAGTCTGACTGTTTTCAGATCTCAAACTCCGTGCTGGGAGAACCACTACTCTCCTCAAAGCTGTCAGACAGGGACATTTAAGTCTGCAGAGGTTTCTGCTCCCTTTTGTTTGGCTATGCCCTGCCCCCAGAGGTGGAGTCTACAGAGGCAGGCAGTCCTCCTTGAGCTGCGGTGGGCTCCACCCAGTTCAAGCTTCCTGGACGCTTTGTTTACCTACTCAAGCCTCAGCAATGGCGGATGCCCCTCACCCAGGCTTGCTGCCGCCTTGCAGTTTGATCTCAGACTGCTGTGCTAGCAATGAGTGAGGATCTGTGGGCATGGGACCCTCTGAACCAGGCGCAGGATATAATCTCCTGGTGTGCTGTTTGCTAAGACTGTTGGAAAAGTGCAGTATTAGGGTGGGAGTGACCCGATTTTCCAGGTGCCATCTGTCACAGCTTCCCTTGGCTAGGAAAGGGAATTCTCTGACCCCTTGCACTTCCCAAGTGAGGCGATGCCTCATCCTGCTTTCGCTCATGCTCACTGGGCTGCACCCACTGTCCTACACCCACTGTCTGACAAGCCCCAGTGAGATGAACCCGGTACCTCAGTTGGAAATGCAGAAATCACACATCTTCTGCGTTGCTCACGTTGGGAGCTGTAGAGTGGAGCTGTTCCTATTTGGCCATCTTGGAACCACCCTCTTCCATGCTGAATTTTCTTTTAGACAATTAAGGAAATGTGAACTACAGACATTTATTAAACTATAACATCCTGAGAGCAAACATATGTACCTCTCCCAAAGACAAATATTAACAATCAGGAGTAGCAAAGTTCAAACCCATATTGAAAAATAAATTTTCTTTAATAAACAAATCCCAGTTTCCTTCCTGTGGAGTCAGTGTACCAGTAGGCTTTTACTGAATTACAAACTAGAACAAAACTTAGTGGCTTAAAACAGCTGTTTATTTAGCTTATGATTCTGTGTGTTGGTGATTTGGGCTGGGATTATCTGGTCACTTTGCTCCTGATTGCAGCTTATGGGTTCTCACTTCTGTGTCTGATGTCAGTTGTCAGCTTGATTGGGGCACAGTTTCACATGTCAGGTAGTTAGCTCCTTGTTATGTGGGGTGATAGGACAGCCTAGGTGACATGTCTCTCATCAGCTAGCACAACTGTTCACATCCCATCCTCCAGCAAGCCTATTCTCAGCCTCCAGCATGCTTATTCAGAAGGACTTATATACATGGCAGCTGATGGGTTCCCAGAACAACCAGAAGGCAAGTCCCAAAGTGCAAGCACTTTTCAACCCTCTCCTTGTGTCACTTGCTGAAGTAAGTATCCTTGAGTAACGCAAGTCAAACAGCCAACCTAGATTTAAGGGGTGGAGAAAAAGGCTACCTCTATTAATGGGAGGATATACAAAGTTACGAGAAAAAAACACGGATGTGGGGAGAGGGAAAATTTGCGGCCATTTAAAAAAACAGCAAGACCTGTTTTTGTGCAGAGTAGAAAGTGTTTTCTCTTGCTTAGAATTTACCAGAATGAGAGAGGGAGAACATTATGCTTTAATGGGTGGTCCCTTTTATAGCCCTGGAAGGTGCCCAAGTTGACAGTTCTTTACTTCTCTGCAAGTCTCCCTCCAACAACAGGGAAGGAATGAGACTGGGGAAAGAAAAGAATTGCCCAATTTTTCTCATTGTCATTGATATTGATGTAGCCAAGACAATAAAAATGTTAAGACCAAATAAAATAGTCTGATTTTGTCATGTTTTAAATTGTGGAGGGTCACAATTTATGACCCCCTTTATCAGAATGGGAGAGTTGAAGTGGCTGTTTAGCTGCATAAAACAACCAATTGATTGTGTTTTTTTTCTTCACTTTTTTTACCTGTACAAAAATACTTAGGCAAGCCATACACTCATATCTAAAGCCAAATAGATATATCAGTAACAGAAAGCTGACACAGTTTGAAAGATTCCAGAATTTCTTGGGTTAAGAAATTATGCCCTAAAACACCAATTAAAAGACAAATGTATTTCTATAGAGTGAGTACTGAGGAAATTAAATATATAGATAAAAAACCCAATGATTTGATACAATGGAATCCAGTACAGAAAAAATTTTATGAAGAAGATAGAAGGAAAATATGATGATATATTACATTGATATGTCAATAAGAAGTCATGGGTTCTGAATATATATGGAATTTTAAGAAAGGGGAAAATTCATACTATATACATAATTGACTTCCTATTTCTGCCTAGGCATGTATGTTCTCACATGATCAAATTTTGCATGTACATTTTCTCCTAATTTGGTACTTAAATTTCACCTTTCAAAAATAATTTGTGTGACAGTAATAGAGGAGTAAATAATGTCACCAAATAGTATTCAAACATGTAAGCATCACTAATGAAGACACATTTTGAGCACATTTTTTTCTTGTATTTAAAGGATAATAGTACTTATTGCTTTTGACTCTCATATATTTGCAAAAAAAATTTTTAAAGTCTATAGAAAAACTGATGGGACACATGCTGTTGGGTGATAATCTCATAAAACCTCTCAGTAAGAGCGATGGATGGATGGCCAGAGTCTACCCTTTATGTATTTGTATATCCCTCTATTCTTGTCATTATATTAAAAACTACAGAACATTTATTACATGAAGATACTGTTAGCAAATATACATGTTGAGCTAATGAGGCTTGTGCCCTATACTCTTGCAGTTTATAATATACCAGAGTCCATTGAATATATCCCACAGACGTATAATCAAGTAGATAACCAGTAAGTTGAATAAGTACAAAAATGAAGTTGGGAAGTTATACATGAGTAACAAACTGAATGTACTTTATGGGATTTCTGGTGAGAAGACCACATCCTACATGCATGTTTAGACCTCCTAGGATGGTAATAAATGACTACCTTTCTGAAAGAGTGAAGGGTTTATGGAAGAGATAGTATTTCATGAGTTCTTCCTATGAAAGGAGGGGAGGGTATGGTCCTCTGACAGAAACTCTAGGCTCTTTACTTTTCTGATACTGTGGTGGTTTGAGAGTAGCCTTTCATCTTAGTCTTGAATTCTTAAGTATCTTTATATTGACATTAAATTGAAAATGGGCATAAAATTACATAATTGGAAAACACATAAATAGTTACAACTGAAAGTAGTTTTGGGTGCCTCTGTCCCTTCTTCTGTCTGCTTCAATGCAAATACATACATGTTTCTGACTCCTTTCCTTCCATTTGTGACATTCTAAGTCAGAGAAAGCTCTTTTTACTGAAAACTGCCCAGACCACCCTGCCCCTGAGGAATTTTATGTTCTAGGATCTAGTTTCCTTGTACATATGTAGGCAGCTCTTGCTTTTATCTTCTCAGCTAAATTAGTTCCTGCATGTTGAAAAAGGGGAAGTGGTGAACCGCCCCCACGGAAGACTTTATTTGGTTTTTAAAAGCAGGTTTGTTACGATCCTGTTGTGGTTATTATAGAAGACAATTTTAGCACTTTGAGCTGTGTGTTTTCCAGAGGAAGTGTTTAAAGAATTTTGCAAAATGTTGGTTAACATTTCAGCCTTGAAAGTTGTTAAAGGTCAGGATATGTTTTGTTATTAAGTTTGAGAGAATAGTTGGGGAATTTAAGTGACAGGAATAAATAAGGAAATATATCACAGTTCATGCATTTCCACACTTTCTCATTCCTACATCTTACTATCCAATATATACTGAACATTCTTTGCATGTCATTTCTTTTCCAACGGAATTCTTTGTTGGATACAACTGAAAGGGTTTTTCAAACTGTTAGTGGCTGATAATTTTACATGCAAACAATAGCACAATGTCATACTGGTGAAAGGAAGCACTGATAAATGTCTCGATATTTCTTAAATTATGGACCTATGTGGCTTATATTTCCACATATGCGAAATTCCTTGATGCAATACAGTCTTACTGCTTAAGACACATATCACTGTAATAATCTATTTGTTGGTGCTATGATGTTATAACCTGAAATTCCATACATATTATTAAAAGAAATCTAAATAGGTAAATTTGTGTCTTGACAATGAAAGAGATAATAATGTCTTACAAAGTTTTATAGTTTTTAGTTGCATTCTTTAAACCATTCATTTTAATTTTAAATTAACTTTTTGGTTATTACCAAGGAATTTGTTGTTTTGGTACATGTAGAAAAATTATATGTAAAGCAATATTACTGCTTTAGTTCCTGGAATATGGCAGGTGCTCAGTTAAACTTGTAGAATATATTATAGCCAAACAACTCATGGTTTGAAGGAAATGTTAAATCTCTATAAGGCCTAAAAAGTCTTTCTAAGGGATTGAAAGAGGAAATTAGAAAGAACCTCAAAATATCAGTGACTGGCAATCCAGTAATCAAAGGACATATTACTATACATATCATTTACATTTCAGAAATAATATTAATTGGGTATTTGCCAGTAGTCCTTATTTAGGCAGGGAAGAAAAAAATTCTCCTAATAGCAATTATACTGTACTTAATAAGCTCCTGCTATGGGCCAGTCAATGTGCTAAGTGATTCACAAATAGTATCTTAATCCTAAAAATAACTAGATGAGGCAGATAATAATATTTCCTCCATTTCACAGATGAAAACAGAGAGCAATTACATAAATTTCTTGTCTTTAAAGTAATGAGTAGAGAAGCCAGGATTTGAACTCAGGCACTTTCCAAACATAAACATTGTGATACACTCTACAATACTAAAAAAGTTAATTTGTGTATTCCAGTGGAGACCACATTGTTACTAGCTATTGTCAAACCTGAAATATTAGTACTGAAGCTCTACTCTATGTTTTGCAGAACTCATCACCTTTATTGATTAACTATGTGCTCATTCCTTTCACTTTGTAGAATTCTATTTCTGTGCTGGTTTGCACAATAGCTTAAATGTTTTCTTTTTTTTTTTTTTTTTTTTTGAGATGGAGTTTCATTCTGTCGCCCAGGCGGGAGTGCAGTGGTACAATCTTGGCTCACTGCAACTTCTGCCTCCCAAGCTCAAGTGATTCTCCTGCCTCAGCCTCCTGAGTAGTTGGGATTACAGGTGTGTGCCACCACCACCTGGATAATTTTTGTATTTTTAGTAGAAATAGGGTTTTACCATGTTGGCCAGGCTAGTCTTGAACTCCTCACCTCAAATGATCCGCCTGCCTCGGCCTCCCAAAGTGCTGGGATTACAGGGAGTAGGTCAAATTTTTGAAAGTACTTTGTTCTCCACTACCTTTATTCCTCTCACCCCACTTAGAGAACTGTGTAGGTTTCAAAGTAGAATTCTACCCGCTTATAGTTTATTACATTTTTTTCTTAAGTGTACAACTTTCTATAGCAACTCAAACAAGTGGCATTTCTCAAGGGAAAGTGTTGAATACAGTAATTATTTTAAAAAATAGTACAGAAAGTGTTGACAAGACCTCCATCTCTATGGAGAATAGTACTAGAGTAAGCACATAGTAAGTATAAGATAATACTTGTGTTAGCAAACAAGAAAAGTAGTACTGCAAGGTAGCCTCTATTCGCTAGTTTGTGATTCTAGGATTGGTTGTTGCAAATCTCGCTTTAAGGCAGGCTTTTTTCCACTG